>NW_025791753.1:300000-516764 GCF_000001405.40 Homo sapiens | reverse complement strand
GAATTCTTGCTGAAGACTGGCCAGGGTGATCAGACATCACCTGCAGAATGGTGAAGAATGAAGAACCTGATCAGATATTGAGAATGAGGGGGTCTTTGGTAAACTTGGCAGTGTTCTTTGCTAATGCTGGATTTTGTGAGGAAGTGCACAGTTTAGCCTAGCTGAAGATTTAGAAGCCTGACTAAAGTTGGCCAAGCAAAGAATCTTTGTTATCAACATATTCCATCAAACCTCACATCCCTGCCTTAAATGATCAAACCATCCGCACTCCTGTATGCTACTGTTCTCCATGAAAAGTTACTTCTTCTTTGTCTTAACCAAAATCCAGCCATTCTAGAAAGACACCAGAAGGCTTTCTGCAGCATCTAAAATTTCCCCACATTCTAGGCCCAAATCCTTTTCCTTTCCCTGTTGCTTTTAGATCCACATTGTGTAACCCTCATCTAGAAACCTCAGTTTCTTGGAGTCATTTTTTTTTTTTGGGACGGAGTTTCCGCTCTTGTTGCCCAGGCTGGAGTGCAGTGGCACGATCTCAGTTCACTGCAACCTCCGTCTCCCAGGTTCAAGCGATTCTCCTGCCTCTGCCCCTTGAGTAGCTGGGATTACAGGTGCCTGCCACCATGCCTGGCTAATTTTTTGTATTTTTAGTAGAGACAGGGTTTCATCCTTTTGGCCAGGCTGGTCCCGAACTCCTGATCTCAGAAGATCCACCTGCCTCAGCCTCCCAAAGTGCTGGGATTATAGGCATGAGCCACTGAGCCAGGCCATTCTGTCTTTTTATATAATATAACTTGTACTTTTATGTAGTAAGTTATCACAATGGTGTCAGACACTCTGAGGAAGAGTATTTTACTGTATCATTCCCATTACCCAATCAGGAAGTCTTAACAGGCAGATTTTAACAAAAATATAAGACACAACTGTGCCTAGCTTTTCTCACATACTTCCTACCTCACACTTCACACATTTCTTTTTCTCAGCACCCACTCTTAAGTAATAATTTATTTCCCCTGAATATTATTTACCTTCTGTGGGCTACCTTACATATCATCTGAAAGCATGATCAAAACAGTTATATTTGTGAATAATTTTATTTTGGTTTATTTCTTAGCAGAAGGAGGAGTTAATAGTAACATTTGTAGGCCGGGCACAGTGGCTCAAGCCTGTAATCCCAACACTTTGGGAGGCCGAGGCTTGCGGATCATGAGGTCAGGAGATCGAGACCATCCTGGATAACACGGTGAAACTCTGTCTCTACTAAAATACAAAAAAATTAGCCGGGCATGGTGGCGGGCACCTGTAGTCCCAGCTACTCGGGAGGCTGAGGGAAGAGAATGGCGTGAACCCAGGAGGTGGAGCTTGCAGTGAGCCGAGATCGCGCCACTGGACTCCAGCCTGGGAGACAGAGCGAGACTCCATCTCAAAAAAAAAAAAAAAAAAAAGTAACATTTGTAATCTCCCAGAGAATGCCAAGGAAAACATTCTCCTGGCTGAATTTATGTAGAGTTCATCATCTAAGCATAAAATATTTTATAAAGGAATGGGCCAATCAAATAACTGCTATGCGGTTGACACTGTAAACCAAGTTAGCTTAGTACCACTCTAAATAGTTGCTGGGAATATAATGATTTTCAAAGACATGATCTCTAGAAATAAATAACTAAAAGAGAAGCACGGTGTCATGCATTTATGCATACACATAAGCAGGGACTAGAGATCAAGAATAGAAATAAAAGAGGTTTTTACACTTGGGGTGCTAAGGTCGCAATGATTTATTTGGAGAGAAAACAGAAGCCCTTCTTTAGTAAATGCAAAGCACCATGTGTTTAATGAAGATACATGACCTAAGCTTTGAAGATCGTTTAACTAATTCAATAACCTTACCAAGTATCCATTACTACATCTCAACAATCAAATTTACAGTGACATCTTTGAGTTAAATATCTCCATAGATGTCTGGAAACAGCTTAATTCTGTTAACTGCTGCCCATTGAATTATGCTTAATTTGGTTGTAGAATTTCATGTCATCTGTTATTCTCCCTCACAACTTGGGAGACGTTATTCCTGTATTGTCTGTTCTCGTTGATGAAGAGAAGTCTGTGATAAAGTAATTGTCCTTCCTTTGTAGGTAATCTGCCTTCCATCTCTGGTTGATTTGAAAATATTGTATTAGTCTTTAGTATCTTGCATTTTACTGTGGTATGTCTACATATGGATTTATACTTACTGAGTTTGCTCAGAGCTTGGAGTATTTCCTCAGTCTTAAAGGCCCTAGTTGTGAAAATGTTACTACAGAAAAACTTTATTTTTTTAACTTAAAATCCTTTTTATTGGGAAATAAATGTAAGATTATAGATAAGTTTGAAAATAAAAGAATTGTTAGAACAAAAAATACTCATATGCCTGTTACCCTAATTTGTCTATTATTATTTTATTAAATTTAGGTTACCATTTGTTCTCTCTCTCTCTCTCTCAATATATATCCCAATTTTCAGTCTTTAGTTCTAAATCTTTCAGCAACCTGGACTATCATGGCCCCAGTGTAATGCTTGGCTTTGTACCTCATGAGGGAAGACATTTTTTTTTTAATCTTAAGTTCTAGGTTACGTGTGCACCACATGCAGGTTTGTTACATAGGTATACATGTGCCATGTTGGTTTGCTGTACCCATCAACTTGTCATTTACATTAGGTATTTCTCCTAATGCTATCTGTCCCCCAGCCCCCCACCCCCTGACAAGCCCCAGTGTGTGATGTTCCCCACTCTGTGTCCATGCATTCTCATTGTTCAACTCCCATCTGTGAGTGAGAACATGCAGTGTTTGGTTTTCTGTCCTTGAGATAGTTTGCTGAGAATGATGGTTTCCAGCTTCATCCATGTCCTTGCAAAGGAAGTGAACTTATCCTTTTTTATGGCTTCATAGTATTCCATGGCACATATGTGCCACATTTTTTTAATCCAGTCTATCATTGATGGACATTTGGGTTGGTTCCAAGTCTTTGCTATTGTGAATAGCACCACAATTAACATATGTGTGCATGTATACATCTTTATAGTAGCATGATTTATAATCCTTCGGGTATATACCCTGTAATGGGATCGCTGGGTCAAATGGTATTTCTAGTTCTAGATCCTTGAGGAATCACCACACTGCTTTCCACAATGGTTGAACTAATTTACGCTCCCACCAGCAGTGTAAAAGCATTCCTATTTCTCCACGTCCTCTCCAGTATCTGTTGTTTCCTGACTTTTTAATGATCATCATTCTAACTGGCATGCGATGGTATCTCATTGTGGTTTTGATTTGCATTTCTCTGATGACCAGCGATGATGAGCATTTTTTATGTGTCTGTTGGCTGCATAAATGTCTTCTTTTGAGAAGTGTCTGTTCATATTATTTGCCCACTTTTTGATGGGGTTGTTTTTTTCTTGTAAATTTGTTGAAGTTCTCTGTAGATTCTGGATATTAGCCCTTTGTTAGACGGGTATATTGCAAAACTTTTCTCCTATTTTTTAGATTGCCTGTTCACTCTGATGAGAGTTTCTTTTGCTGTGCAGAAGCTCTTTAGTTTAATTAGATCGCATTTGTCTATTTTAGCTTTTGTTGCCATTGCTTTTGGTGTTCTAGTCATGAAGTCTTTGCCCATGCCTATGTCTTGAATGGTATTGCCTAGGTTTTCTTCTAGGGTTTTTTATGGTGTTAGGTCTTACATTTAAGTCTTTAATCCATCTTGAGTTGATTTTTGTATATGGTGTAAGGAAGGGATCCAGTTTCAGCTTTCTACATATGGCTAGCCAGTTTTCCCAGCACCATTTATTAAATAGGGGATCCTTTGAGGGAAGAAAATTATTTCTAATATTTTAATCCAGCTATGTATGTAAAAAGAAGTCTTTTTCATATTTTATCTGTTATTTCTGTATGATTGGAGTATGAGTCAAAACATCTCAATATAAATAAAAAGTTACATTTCAGTAATTTTTTTTTCTAAAATTACAAAACACTAGTGGTCAAAAACACTACTATTTCCAATTCTCTTTCCTTTGTTAACATTACTTTTTGTACTTATGAGAGAAGAGTTTGCAATCCAAAAAGAGCAGGAAGGAAGAGAGATTAGAGATTTTTTCTCCTGCTTGCTCTATACATATGAGATATTTATATATCTATATATCAACAGTTGACCTTTGAATAACACTGGTTTAAACTGTGTGAGTCCACTTATAGGTGGATTTTTTCAGCCAAATACAGATTGAAAATACAGTATTTGTGGGAAGTGAAACCCACATATGTGGAGGGCCAACTTTTCATATGCAAGCTCTGCAAGGTTGACTGTAGGACCTGAGTATGTGCAGACTTCGGTATATGCAGGGCTCCTGAATCCAATACCCCACTAATACTGAGGGATGACTGTATATGTCTCTATCTATCTACTCTATCATATATATATATACACACACACACACACACAAATATGTGTGTATATATATATGTATGTGTGTATATATATATGTGTATATATATATATACTTCCTATATTACTTTGCTAGGGTTGTTATAACAATTACTGCAGACTGGATGAGTTAAACAAGAGAAATTTATTTTCTCACAGTTCTGGAGGCTAGAAGTGTGAGGTCAAGGCATCAGATGTGTTAATTTTATTCTGAAATTTCTCTCCTTGCCTTTTAGATAGTCATTTTCTCATCTTGTCTTCTCATGGACTTTTTTCTGTGCACATGTTTGTCTGTACCTAAATTTCCTCTTCAAATAAGGACACCAGTGATATTGGATTAGGACCCAGACATGTGACCTCATTTTACATTAGTTACCTCTTAAAAGTCTCTATCTCCAAATATAGTCACCTTCTGATATACTGGGATGGCAGGGGGCAGGGTACAGCATATTAATTTGGGGAAAGGCCACAATTCAGCCTATAACATATGCAATATATTCTTCTCTGATCTATACTATATAACTTTTATATATAATACATATATAATTTAATATACATTTTAACCCCTTGATTAATTTTGTCACTGCAGAGAAAACAAGAATTAAAGAAAAGCTTCAGGTGATACTGTTTTTGAATGAGTAAGAATTGAGCCTGCCCTTAACACAAGAATGAAGTAGAAATAAACTGACTTAGGGAACAGCATAAAAAAGTTCTCTTATGAGTCAAGATTTCAATGTGATGTCATCATTTTTTCCAGGGATTAAATATTAGAATATATTGCATGCCCATATTGAGGTGGAATCATAAACTTATTTCAGACTTATTATAATGGCTCATTTTCTTATGCCTTCACCATTGAACTTGTACTTAGCTGGGGATTGAGCTGAAAGTTTGCCTTTTCTGTATCTAGCATAGTTGCACCAAATCTGACCTTAATCCCAAATTTTCCTTTCTGTAATATCTTGTTTCCAAATGAGGCTCACATTGAATTTTCTCTTGTTAGAAATATAACTGGCAAGACCAATCAAAACCATTCATTCCATTCAGTTGCCTGTGAACAAGCTTGATTTGCTTTGTTATTAATACAGATTCTTGTGGGTTAAGTAGAAAGCTCTTTTGTAAATATCCCTCAGTTTAAGTATATATAGTTTACATTTCCAGGTAAACTGTAAATTCTCTGAGAAAGGCCCAGCATGGTGGTTCAAGCCTATAATCCCAGCTCTTTGGGAGTCTGAGATGGGTGGATCACTGGAGGTCAGGAGTTTGAGACCAGCCTGGCCAATGTGGTGAAACCCCATCTCTACCAAAAATACAAAAATTAGCCAGGCATGGTGGTGCACGCCTGTAATCTCAGCTACTCAGGAGGCCAAGGCAAGTGATTAAACCCAGGAGGTGGAGGTTGCAGTGAGCTGAGATCGCACCACTGCACTCCAACCTGGGTGACAAGCTGGACTCTGTCTCAAAAAAAAAAAAAAAAAATTCTGTGAAAAGATCTGTGATTTCCATTCTCCTTTATAGTAATTGTTAAGCACTCACAATTAGATGGTTATAACAACTATCAAAGAAAAACAATTATTTTAATAAATATTTTTCATCATTTTCTCCTTTCTAAGCCCTATGCTATGCACTAAAAACTGCAGAGAAAATCAACACATTCTCTACCTCACAGCAGATTTCTTGGAGAGAGATAGGGGTGGGGAGGGGAATAAGGGTTGCTAAATGTTGTCAACTTTGTAATACAACTCTCAAAGGGAGATAGTTATTAGGGAGGCAAAGTGCTCAGGCTCAGATTTCAGGTTGCCTAGATTTGAATTCTGTCTTCACTGCTTCTTTTATGATTTGCCCAAATTACTTAAGCTCTTTAAACCACAGTTTCCTCATCCTTAAGAGAGGGATAATAAATAGAACTTATCTCATAAAATTACTGTGAGAATTATAAGTGATTATGAAGTTGATTAAATTTCCCCAGTGCTTCATACAAAGAAAGGACTCAAAGGATATGCTAGTTCATAGTAGGGGCATAGAAGAAGATATCCCTTCTCTCCTGGGATATAGGGTATACATAACTGTCCACTATAAAATTGAAGATAGGCTAGAGAAAAGCTAAAAATGAAGAATCTAATAACTCTTTAGCCAAGAGAAAATGAAACATGAGGGAAAGGGAGAAGTTCCAAATGAGGTCCACATTTGTCGTGGGCCACTGAATGGTGGTGCCATTCAGGCAGAGGAAACCCAGAAGGAGGAGTCATTCTGTAGTTAGAGGGCACTTAATGAGATAATATTAGAGATAACTGAGGTTGAGTTGTTGGTACGTATCTGGGTGCAAAGTCTCCATAGGTCCGGAATTTTGAATAGTTTTCTGGAGTCATCTGGTTATTGTTAAAGCCAAGAGAATTGGTGAGATCACAGAATACAATAATGATCAATAAGAGGGAAGGGAAGAGAGCCAAGAATGGGAGACTGGGAAGCATACACATTTAATTAAGGTTTGGTAAGGTGAAAGGTGTCAGCAGAGAATGTAAAGGTGAAATAATGAGAGAAAAAGGAGGACATCAAGGAGAAAGTCGTGTTTTGAAAAAAACAAAAAGGACACATTTTCAAGAAAGACATTGTCAATAGTTTAAATGTCACAAAATAGTAGAGTATAATGCATTTAAAAAAAACAAAATCTATTGCTTTTGTTAATTAAATGACTAGTAACCTCGGCTGCAGCAGTTTCAGTAGAGTGAGGAGAGTTGACACCAAACTGCACCAGTGGAGTGAAAATAAGTGGGAAGAAAGAGTGAGGAAGTGGAGGACAGTCTTTTTTTTTTTTTTTAATAAAAATATTTTCCCAAACTGTCTTTTCTGGAACTTCCAACATGTCTGCTTAAGAGCTTGTCTTAGTTGAATTCATTCGAACTTCTTGAACCTAATTAGTTTCTTTTTGCTGTTTTTTTTTTTTTTTTTTTTTTTTTTTTTTTTTTGAGATGGATCCTTGCTCTATCGCCCAGGCTGGAGTTCAATGGTGCAATTTTGGCTCACTGCAACCTCCTCCTCCTGGGTTCAAGCAGTTCTCCTGCCGCAGCCCAATTAGTTTTAAAGACGCTGCATATATTGGCAGGGAAAACCTAGAACACAAAGTCAAACTTCCAATTATCTCCCTTCAGTGCTCAAATCAAGAGTTCATTTGTTGCAAGGAATGGGGATCTGGACTCCAGGGAGAAGAATAGAGTTTTAGGAGGAAAGTTCTCCTAAAACTAAATGGAAGGAGGGTTCTTTGAGATACCAAGGATTTGCAGGACTTTATTTACAATGAAATGTTAGTTTCAGACAGCCCAGGAGGAATAGGTCTATTAAAGGAAAGCAAGAGTAGTTGGCGTAAGGAAACAATTTGCACTGGAGCCTGAGAGTGAGTATAGTAATGACCACATGAGAGACCCATTTGACTCAAGTACTTCAAAGCATTGCCAGTGTTAGTCTTTGCTCCATAATCAAGTGGGGAAAAAGTGAAATGTCTTTGAAGAGCATTTCCTGTAGGTGGCCTTTGAGGAGGTCCTGAAAATTCCAAACCTGCAAGTATTAATGGCAAAGAATAAAAATTTGTTTATATAAAATACTTTTAAAAATCTTTCTAAATAGCAAGACATTATATATTATCATTGTTAAAAGATAAACGAATTGAGAAATATCATTAGAATTATATGCAGCAGATAAAATGGTCACTTTTTTTTTTGAGACAGAGTCTCGCTCTGTCGCCAGGCTGGAGCACAGTGGCGTGATCTTGGCTCATTACAACCTCCAACTCCCTGGTTCAAGTGATTCTTCTGCCTCAGCCTCCCGAGTAGCTGGGATTACAGGCACGTGCCACCACCCCAGCCAATTTTTGTATTTTTAGCAGAGACAGGGTTTCACCATGTTGGGCAGGATGGTCTTGATCTCCTGACCTTGTGATCCACCCGCCTTGGCCTCCCAAAGTGTTGGGATTACAGGCGTGAGCCACTGCGTCCAGCCAAAAGGTCACTTTTTAAACTTAAAAATTATTAAGAAAACAGTGAAAACTTAATGTTTAAAAGAGTAGAAGATAGGGAAAATTATTACACAGAAAAAGATAAACAACAGAGAAAGATAAATAAATTGCCAGTGAATATGTAAAAAGTTGCTCAGCACCAGTGGTAGTTCAAATCCAAATAGCACTGAGTTAGCATTTGTTAACTAATAAATTGGCAAAAATTATATTTTGATAAAACCCAGTGTTGTTGACATCTCAAGAAAAAGGGCTATGCTCACACAGCCTTGGAGCATGTGCACATTGATGATTTTGTTGGCATAAAAATTAGTGGTTTCTATTAAAATCAGCAGTGTAATTCACAATCGCTAAGACATGGAATCAACCTAGGTGCCCATCAGCTGTGGATTGGATAAAGAAAATATGGTACATATATGTCATGGAATACTTTGCAGCCATAAAAAAGAATAAAATTATGTCCTTTACAGCAACATGGATGCAACTCGATGCCGTTATGCTAAGCGAATTAACACAGGAATAGAAAACCAAATACCACATATTCTCACTTATAAGCAGGAGCTAAACATTGAGTACACGTGGACACAAAGATGGGAACAATAGAAACTGGGGACTACTCGAGGGTAGAAGGAGGGAGGGGGTAAAGGTTGAAAAAAAACTACTATGCCTAGTACCTGAGTGATCAGATCAATCATGCAGCAAACCTCAGCATTATACAACATACAACATACCCATGTAACAAACCTGCACATGTACCCACTGTATCTAAAATCAAAAGCTGAAATTATAAAAAATAAAAAAGAAAATCAACAATGTGTATTTCTCTCACACAGCCATCACGATGATGTATTTGGAATAATATATGCATAAGGATGTTCATTGCAGTGTTGTCTGCAAGGGCAAAGTGAAAACAATCTGAATAACCATCAATATGACACAGAGTAAGTAATTATTGGTACGTCTGTACAATGCCTCATGCAGTCACCACTGACAGCATGGGAAAGAGAGACATCTATTATGAAAAGACCACTAAGACATATGATTACATGATAAGTGCAAGGTTCATGAATAAATAGTATGTATACTAGTATAGCATACTTCTTTCTAAGAAAGAAACCATAACACATACACGAATGGACAAGAAATTATTAACAATAGCTAACTTTGGTGATAAGACTGTAGGTTGTAAAAAGCCAGACTTTCATTTCTCATTTTAAACCCAATGAATTATTTAAATCTAACCCTACTGCATTCATTATCTTTATAATAAAATAAATATGTATAACAATGAAACATAGTTTTTAAGTATTTGGGACATAAATTAAACATTAATAGATTACACCTCTTAAACTTGGTACTTTAGTATCCCATTTCTCTGTGAGAACTCTGAAAGCTTCATCTTCCACAGTTTAGGTAATTCTTTGGTGTCTTATTTTGTTATTTTCTTGCCCTGAGATTAGCAATGTCAGATCTCCAAACTACTAACTCTTCTCTTTGGCAGATCAAATGCTTCTTCTTAAAAAAATTGATTTTTTAAAATGTATTTCATAGGATTTTTGTTCTCTCTCTCCCTCTTTTTGTGCATATGTGTGTGTGTCTGATTAGTCTTTATTATCTTAAAATGGTTAGTCCTGATAGACCTGTTTCTTCAAAATTTCTCTCAGTTCTTTGGCAGTTTGCTCTTAGCTTATAATTAAAGATCAATTTCTGACTTGTCTTGTTCTAGAAAACCTCAATGGAAATTACAGCAAGCTGAATAGGATATTAATTAAAAACATAAACCTGGTGAAACCCGAACATAGAGGCTCTAGTTCAAAGATGCTTCCAATAGTTGACATGGCCATTCATTCCTTAAAACCAGCTATTTTTCTTTCGAATTACATTACCTTTAATTCTGTAAATTGGATGTTATATAGTACCATGAAAACTGCTGTGAGTAATTATAATACTCATTGCTGAGTGATGTGACTTCTTTCTCAAGGCTATTTCTGAGGGAAATTGTACAATTAGATCTTTAGGTATTGTGACTTGTTTTGGAAATCATGGTGGCCCTCCAGGGAGCTAATGAATCTTTAATTATTTAGAGGTTCACATGAGACCCCTTACAGATATAAGCACATTAGCTCTGTAGCTAAGGGAACATTTAAAAACAGTAACATGAAATGTGTCAGACATAGAGGAAAGATGAAGAAGCAAGTAGAAGCTAATGCAAACAGAGGAACTGCCAGCTCTCTGTGGCACTCTAGCTCTCTCTGTCAGTATTTGGTTGGCAATGTAGACATAGTGGATGAGTGCAATTACATATGTTAGGCTCATTCTGAAATGCAGGAGCATTTTAGATTTTCATGTAGAAGCCTGACAAGCAAACTACATCTAGGATATACTTTGATAATTTTGAGTTGAGAGCCAAATTTTTTGAAGGTAAACCATCTCCCTGTTTTAAAGTAGTGTTTAAAATTATAAAAATATTAATACATCTGTAACATAAAATATTTAGATATAAATACTACAAGTGCAAATGAATTTTTTTTTCTACTTCTGCATTCAACTTTTCTCTTCTCCCTTTAGGGAAAACACTTTTGTGTAAAGGCCTCCAAAATATATGTAGAGGCGTATGTATGTTAAAAACATGTATACATATAATGCATAACCAAACAAATGAAATATCCTAAACATATGGACCTGAAAATTGCTTATAATAAATTTGAACTGAACATATAGGCATAAATGTGGTTCAGAAGTGTCCAGTTGAAGCAACTTCACTTTGTTAGGTCAACAAAAGTTGGGGACACTAAGATCTACTCCTCTGATTTTGTTCTAGCATTATCTTAATGGAAATGTTTACTGAAATGGAAATACATGTAGTGGACATCGTGGTGGTGTCTCAAGCATTCAGTGTTCCCTGCTCTCACACACTCCTAGCCAAATAATGAATTTCTCAGCTTCACAATGTTTAAGTGACATGAGTCCCATGTCCAATTCTTGGTCACTGTAATTGGTGCATGAAGGAACGTGTGCCTTCTGCTAATCAAATCAGAATGAAGTACAACTTTTTCATTCCATGATTGAAGAGGGAAATGCCTTCTTTCCAAATGCAGCAGAGGAAGCACGAGGTACTAGGATTGGAAGTTGTCTACTCATGACATGATATTTTAAGCCATAGAATAAAACTGAGACCTAATGTCTTAGTCCTTTCAGGTCGCTATACCAGAATATCACAGCCTGGATGGTTTATGAACAACATAAATTTATTTCTTACAGTTCTAGAGGCCAGGAAGTCCAAGATCAAGGTGTCAACAGATTCAGGGTCTAATGAGGATTTGTTTCCTGGTTCACAGACAGCTGTCTTTTTGCTGTGCCCTCACATGGTGGAAGGGGCTAGGAAGTTCTCTAAGGTCTCTTTTATAAGGGCACTAATCTCATTCATGAGGACTCTGTCCTCATGACCTAATCACCCCCTGAAGACCCACTGCCAAATATCATCACACTAGGGATTAGATTTAAACATACAAATTTTGGGGGGATACAAACATTCAATCTATATCACTTAAGGTAGAGTGAAGAAACAGGGAGGACAAGAAGCATTTATTTTGTGTTATTATTAAACTTCTGCATTAAACTATCTTGAGCCTATACTATTGTTCAAAATCTCTTTATTATACAAGCCATTTTGAATTTTGATTGTTTGCAACCAAAATTAACCTAATAAATTAAAATGTACTATAATGTTACATCATAATTTGTCTGTACTAGTAGTATTTGCTAGAACGTTTAGGGGAATACTTGCTTGTTAACTTTTTAGTAAATATAACACTCCATGTTCAAATACATTTGGAAAATACTGAGCATTTCACACTTTTAGAGACTCAAAACAGGCAGCACATTTTTAAAAAATAAAAATAAAACCAAATAGCATTGCATTTGGAGAATGGTATAAAAAAAGAGAATTTGATAAACTGGAGTTATCAGAACTCAGTGGATACTATGTGTTAGACATTATTATAAGCCATTAAACATTTTACAAGCTTGATATCTGAGTTAAAAATTAATAACCCAAAGACACATTGGAAGAGAAAAGTTGACATATTTTTATTATATTAATGACCTAAAAATATCATAGCAACTAACGTCATTATAGTCAACAAGTGAATGAACGTAAATAATATTAAATAACTATTAGAAAGTCTCTCTGATTAAGCATGGAAATAAATAAGCAGTGCTTTTGACCAATAAATGGAGGAGTTACAATACTTTCCAATACAAAACAAAAAGATTCTAAATGTAAAGGTATTAGGCCCAAAATATGTTAGTCAATTCATGACAGCAGAAATTCAGCAGGTCATATTTTTGAGGTAATGTAAATGACAATAGAAATCATGGACTAAAGTGTAACAAATAAGTAATATCTAGGCAGGTGGAAATTTTAAGATCTTTTAAATTAACTTCTGGACTATAGCAAAAATTCAAACTAAAATTCATCAGGGAGTCAGGGAAGGTCAAATGAAGAAGCATGGGGACTGAGGCAAAAACCCTGAATTATACCAATATTATCTTTTTTTTTTTGAGACAGGATCTTGCTCTGTTACCCAGGCTGGAGTGCAGTGGTGCAATCATAGTTCACTGCAACCGCGACCTCCTAGGCTCAAGGGATCCTCCCACCTCAGCCTCTTGAGTATCTGGGACTACAGAACCTCATCACCAAAACACCCATCTAATTTATTTATTTTTTGTAAAGATGAGGTCTCACTTTGTTGCTCAGGCTGACAAGTATTATCTTAATGTTATAGAAAAAAAGTAATTCTGGCCATATATAGGTATTATTCTTTGCAGTAGAATATCATTTCAGAAATTTGTGCCAAACATAAAATTAGTTTTCTAGTAGTAAAAAGTAATTAAACTCTTTAAATTATTATTACCCCTAGTATACTGGGGAATGGGTGTGTGTTCCAAATGAAAAAACTTGGGATGTCTAATGAGATGCTGTTTTCTGTCGCAGAAAATCTATGTAAAATGTTTTTTCTCACGTGTACACTGTTGATATTTGAGACAGCACATGTTAACACTTCAAGAAGTAAAATAAATGTGTTGATTATATCCACAGTTTTCATATTTATTAACTACATATTTCGTTTTTAATGTAATGCCTATTGAAAAACCTGTAAATAGTTGTTTCTTAAAATTGACAAATACTGCCTAAGATTTTTCTGTATATTTTCATATTTCAATTTTCCTGTGAGGTTAGAATGAACACTTTAGCTAAGACATTTGTGCCTCCAAATCCTAAACCTTTCAGAATGTTAGTTTATTATTTGGTTTTTACCTAAATTATTTTCTGCTTATTCAAGAACCTTAGGTCTATCCAGTTACGTTTTTATTTTTTTATTTTTATTTTTTTATTTTGAAACAAAGTCTCGCTCTGTTGCCAAAGCTGGAGTGCATTGGCATGATCTGGGCTCACTGCAACCTCTGCCTCCCAGGTTCAAGTGATTCTCCTGCCTCAACCTCCCGAGTAGCTGGGATTACAGGGGCATACCACCACACCCAGCTAATTTTTGCATTTTTAGTAGAGATGGGGTTTCACCATGCTGGCCAGGCTGGTCTCAAACTCCTGACTTCAGGTGATCTGCCCACCTCAGGATCCCAAAGTGCTGGGATTATAGGCATGAGCCACCATGCCTGGCTGTATCCAGTTACATTTTTAAGACCAGCCAGGCTTAATATATATTTGGTCTTTTGCTCAATTCAATTTGTTGCATTTTGTCCATTGTACTTCATGTGACACAGAATATATCTTAATTTAAAAAGACATATGTTTGTTGAGCTATCTGTTACGTTGGTATATCTTGGAATTTTAAAAAATATAAACCACAGAAGCCAATTATGGCTGACATTAACAATAAATAGGTTTATCACAGAAATAGTGGGGAACTTGTAGAACTGTTGAGAAGGCTAGAAAGCCAGATCAAAGCTAGGCAGCCAGGAAATGTACCCCAAACCATGCTGTAGAACTCATCCAGGGAGGAAACCACTGTCACCACCAGTAAGAAATAACACCGAAGATGCAGGCAGCAACAATTGCAGCAATTGCTCAATCCTAGGCTAACTGCAAAGCCACCAGCACCACTCCCACTTGTTCGCTTTGCAACAGATATTGTAGCAGCTGCTACATGGCCTCCACCAGAAACAAGAGAAAGCATAACTGAATCTGCTTCTTTTTTTATTAATTCCGAAGTGGAAATTCAGCACTGGCAAACAGATGGGCAAAACCTAAGTCATATGCTTGTACCCTAGCTGCAAAGGAGGCTGAGAAAGCAAGCATTTGGCATTTTAGCTTCTAAAGCAGGAGGTGGTTTCTTGTTTTCGTCAAAACTGAGAGGCTGAGGAATTCCTCAAACACAGCAACAAACATCAAATAATAAATTTTCATGCTTTAACTTGCTCAATATCAATATAAACTTTCCCTTTTGAAAGTAAACACGAAAGACCCAAGCTTCCTTCTAACAGAGTGCAACTATTTCTCTAATAATTGAACATGTACCTACAATCTCTTGAACAATGAAACAATAAAAAATTCTCAATCACAGCATGTACTCTAAGTCTAAGAATTCTGGGTTATGTCCATTCCTCTACGAAGTTCTTCACTATACTCTCTTGACATTCTGCCATATATCATTTAAAAATTAAGTTAATCACCCTCAATAAGCCCTGTTTTAAAAAGAGGGATAAATGGAGAGGAAAGAAGGAAAGTTGTTAAGATACATAAGTATGCACAGGACAATACAAGAGAAACAATGTGTTTGGATGTCAAGGCTCTCCTTTCTGCAAGTGGCCAGCAGGTCACTATTGGCATCTATGGCCATGTGCCCTCAGCTAACACCTCTGCTAGTCAGGGTTTTGCCTTGTGAGATGACCAAATATTCATTCCTGACAGAGAAATGTCCTTGATAATCTTTTTGTGTGAGCGTGCCATGGTCATTGTTAATTTCTTTCATTTAACAAAATAATAGACTTTATTTTTTGAGCAGTTTTAGCTTTATGGAAAGATCGAGCAGAAAGTACAGAGTTCTCACATACTGTCACCTTTATCCCACCCCCAGTTTACATTAGGGTTCACTCTTTGTGTGGTACAGGTCTAGGAGTTTTGCAAAACGCATAATGTCATGTACCCATCATTACATTATTACCAATGTATTTTCAATCCCCTAAAAATCGCCTGTTTCAGAACTATTTATCTCCCTACCCATCCCCAAACTCCTGGCAACCACTGAGCTTTTTTGTTGTTGTTGTTGTTACTTAGTTTTTATTTCATAATCATAAACTTAACTCAACTCTGCAATCCAGCTAGGCATGGAAGGGAACAAGGAAAACATGGAACCCAAAGGGAACTGCAGCAAGAGCACAAAGATTCTAGGATATTGCAAGCAAATGTGGTGGAGGGGTGCTCTCCTGAGCTACAGAAGGAATGGGTCTGGTGGTGAAAATAAAACACAAGTCAAACTCATTAGAATTGTCCACAGTCAGCAATGGTGATCTTCTTGCTGGTCTTGCTATTCCTGTACCCAAAGTGCTCCATGGCTTCCACAATATTCACACGTTCTTTCACCTTGCCAAAGGCCACATGCTTGCCATCCAACCACTCAGTCTTGGCAGCACAGATGAAAAACTGGGAACCATTTGTGTTGGGTCCAGCATTTGCCATGGACAAGATGCCAGAACCTGTATGCTTTCGGATGAGGTTCTCATCATCAAATTTCTCCCCATAGATGGACTTGTCACCAGTGCCATTATGGCGTGTGAAGTCACCACCCTGACACATAAACCCTGGAATAATTCTGTGAAAGCAGGAACCCTTATAACGAAATCCTTTCTCTCCAGTGCTCAGAGCACGAAAGTTTTCCGCTGTCTTTAGAATCTTGTCTGCAAACAGTTTGATGGAGATGCGGCCCAAGGGCTTGCCGTCGACGGTGATGTCAAAAAAGACGACGGAGTTGACCATGGCTGATAGTACAGGGCTCACAGTGATGGTGGCGTCTGCAAAGATAACCACTGATCTTTTTACTGTCTTTATAGTTTGTCCTTTTCCAGAATGTCGTATAGTTGAAATCACAGTATGTACCCTTTTCAGACTGGCTTCTTTCACTTAGCAAAATGTCTTTGTTTTTTCTGTATCTTTTTGTGGCTTGATAGTTTTTTCCTTTTAGCACTGAATAATATTCCACTGTAGGAATATACCACAGTTTGCTTATGCAGTCACCTATTGAAGGATACCTTGGTTGCTTCCAAGTTGTGGCAGTCTTCATTAATTTCTTTCTTTCTTTCTTTCTTTCTTTCTTTCTTTCTTTCTTTCTTTCTTTCTTTCTTTCTTTCTTTCTTCTTTTTTTTTTTTTTTTTTTTTTGAGACAGAGTCTTGCTCTGTCACCCAGGCTGGAGTGAAGTGGCACAATCTCAGCTCATTGCAACCTCTGCCTCCCAGGTTCAAGTGATTCTCTTCCTCAGCCTCTGGAGTAGCTGGGATTACAGGTGTGCACCACCACGCCTGGTTAGTCTTCAGGAATATTTACAGGACTGTATAGAATTAGGAGCCATCAAAGGGGATCCCTGAATTCTTTCTGTTTTTCTTACAAATACCAGTTTTAAGGTCAAGATTTACTACCCCATGCAACAATGTAGCCGCATTTTAAATTTTAAATTTTTGACAGTTTGTTTAAAGGTCTCAGGCAACCTAAAAGGCTAGATAGAAGTCTCTCATCCTCTAACGAAGGATGGATTGTAAAATGGAATACTGCTAAGACTCTCCCTTTGGGTACTAATTCTGCAAAAACCTAGAATCTCAGAGACAAGAGACAAGTATTTGGAGTGGATCATTAGATGTAATGACAAAAGGAGTCACTTCAACGTTCATAACAAATATCAAAGATTGTTGTATTTTTTATATGGGAGACACCAGACAAGCTTATACTTAGTTACTAGTTCAGAGGATACACCACCACATCGTCTAGCATGAGTACAACCTTATAAGCCATTGTCTCCAGCTGGCACTGTGATTGAGTCTTTAATAAAATATTCACCATTGTATAATAATAATAATTTTGGTTGGTGATAGGATAAATGGTGGACCAGGTGAGTCCAATGAATATCTACTCATTTGTTATACAACAAGTTCTTTTAATAGAAGGATGTAGAACAGGATATTATGGCAGTATATATAAGGCATTCAATGTACCCATGGAGAGTGGCGATCAGAGAAAAATGATGTCAGGTAAAGCAAATGTAATTCAAGGATAAAGGTAGATTCCATTTACAAAATTCCTTGTTGCCTTTATCATAGAGGAGCTCCAGTAAAATCAACAAGTCTGACAAAAGGTGACTGGTTTATTCACCCAGGATATGTTATTGTGTGCTTAGCCTTGGACTTTGTTGCTTGTGTGTTGGACACCTAATAGTCTTGACAGCTAAATAGGCTTTTGTAAGCGAGAGTGGTAAAGTCCAACATGTTGCTAAACCTATGTGTATTCTCTACTGCTACCACCAATGTTGCTGTTTATTAGCCTTCTGAGCAAGCAATGTAGTGCCTGGTGAAAGAGATTGTTTCATACCTTCATATCTATTTGATAACCTTCCTGATGATAGTTTGGTGAGCATTTGTATTAAGCACAAATATTCTTACACTCTGGCTCATTTTCTGTGGTTCATCTACATATTTTTTCCCCAAAACTCATTGCCACCAATCCTTCAGTGTTTG
Organism: Homo sapiens; assembly: GCF_000001405.40. Taxonomy (NCBI): domain Eukaryota; kingdom Metazoa; phylum Chordata; class Mammalia; order Primates; family Hominidae; genus Homo; species Homo sapiens. The sequence goes on along the minus strand of NW_025791753.1, from coordinate 498,567 downwards.
TCTTTCTGAGTCCCTAATTATCTTTTCTTTTCTTTTCTTTTTTTTTTTTTTTTGAGACAGAGTTTCACTTTGTTGCCCAGGCTGGAGTGCAGTGGTGCAATCTTGGTTCACTGCAACTTCTTCCTCCTGGATTCAAGAGATTCTCCTGCCTCAGCCTCCCAAGTAGCTAGGATTGCAGGCACACACCACCACATCTGGCTAATTTTTGTATTTTTAGTAGAGACGGAGTTTCACCATGTCAGCCAGGCTGGTTTCGAACTCCTGACCTCAGACAATCCACCTGTCCTGTCCTCCAAAAGTTCTGGGATTACAGGTGTGAACCATCAGGCCTGGCCCCAAGTCCCTAATTATCTAGACAAATTATTAGCTGCCACATATACATCAATAATATCTCTCCTTCTAGACATCGTGGACAACCAATTACATAGGCTGAATTTCTTTTAAAATTGCATTCACGTAGGTTATAATGCCTAAGCAATCTACTTTTGGCTGTTGCTGTGATGTTGTACAGTGACTTCTGTAAATCAGGCTCAATTTTTCCCTCACTAATCAACTGGCCATAGAGAACTTCCCATGAAGACATAGGTATAGATTCTATTATTCCTACCTGCTGATGAAGCAGGATAGTTAATTGGAAAACACTTATTTCATGATAAGCAGCTCATGTTGTCATATTTTTTTGCATTGATAGGACTTCAGTTTCTACAATGGTCCAGGATCAATCAAGAGTTCTTTAAAGAAAACATTTATTTTGTCAAAGAAAGAAGCATTTTGTTCCAAATCCTAAGAACAATAGTAGTGGTGTGTCAGAGGCTCTATTGCATCTGGATATAAAAACAAAGGGGCACAATATTCCTGACCAGTTGGGAATTATTATCTTGATCTCAATCCCATCAAAAGGTGGCAGCATGACAAGTCATGAAGTAAAAGGACCAGGTGATAAAATGAGGTCTCCAAAATCCAAAGCATCAAAGTTCTCAGTTAGTGGACAGGGCTGCAAAGTGCCATAATTTTTCACTTTGGAAGGTATATCTTGAGAATATTGAGTGTATGAGACAAGTTAAAAGGTCATGCAGCCAGACGCGGTGGCTCACGCCTGTAATCCCAGCACTTAGGGAAGCTGAGGTAGGCGGATCATGAGGTCAGGAGTTCAAGACCAGCCTGGCCAATATGGTGAAACCGCATCTCTACTAAAAATACAAAAATTAGTGGGGCATCGTGGTGCCCTCCTGCAGTCCCAGCTACTTGGGAGGCTGAGGCAGCAGAATCGCTTGAACCCTGAAGGCGGAGGTTGCAGTGAGCTGAGTTGGCGCCACTGCATCCAGCCTTGGCAACACCGCGAGACTCTGTCTCTTAAAAAAAATAAAAAAATAAAAATAAAAAAATTTAAAAGTTCGTGATTAACACCTCTGTTAGCCTCTGATCTTTATAATAATTATCACACACACACAAACCAAACACCACACATAGAGGAAACAGTAAAAGATTAAAGGACACAGCTAAAAATACATTTGTATTATTACTTCCCAAAGTTCTAAAATTATGAGAAGGGACTAGTGAATCTTTAAAAAATATTGATTATCCAACACTTTTTAATAACCAGTATAATTGCATTGAAGGCTACTGAACATGCACATGTTCCTAAAATTTTTCTGTTATGGTGTCTGGTTTGCGAAAGGAACAAAATTAAACATAGTTCCTTGGCAATTTTTCCCTCTTCCACTCTACTAATTGGCGTATGTGCGATGTGTGTTTATTGTAAAATAGGAATAAGATTCAGAGGTCAAGAATCAAAGTGAGTCAGAGTAGGAAAAGCCAGACTCAAGCATAACAGAAGGGCAGAGCCTGTCAAACCCCAAAATTAAAGGGTAAATTTCAACACAAGTAGAAGTGGTTCAAAAGCTAAGGGCATCCTCATAGTTCATGAAAAGCAAGTATTCACGCAGGTAGCAGACTCTAATCTGCTTCAAGCCAATGTGCTATTCTCTTCGTGTTATTTATATCCCTCAGAATACCTCAAAGTTCCCAAGAGCAGTCAGTATTTAACTCTAAACTATATCATCTATATGATATATTTATTATATATAATATATATATTATATGTATTATATATTATATATTTATTATATGTATAATATATATTATATATTTATTATATATATAATATATATTATATATTTATTATATATATATTATATATTATATATTATATTTATATTTATTATATATATAATATATATCTGTTTATTATTATATATTTTTTTGAGACGGAGTTTTGCTTTTGTTGCCCAGGCTGGAGTGCAATGGTGCTATCTCGGCTCACCACAACCTCTGCCTCCCAGGTTCAAGTGATTCTCCTGCCTCAGCGTCCTGAGTAGCTGGGATTACAGACATGTGCCACCACGCCTGGTTAATTTTGTATTTTTAATAGAGAAGGGGTTTCTCCATGTTAGTCAGTCTGGTATTGAACTCCCATCCTCAGGTGATCTGCCTGCCTCGGCCTCCCAAAGTGCTGGGATTATAGGTGTGAGCCAACGTGCCCAGCCAACTATGTAATATTTTAATTGTGTAGTGATAACCCTCATCAAAAGGAGTATTCATTATGGCCAGTGTACTCTGCTTATTTACCACTAAAGCTTAACACAAAATTGTTGAAATAAACATGCATATTGAAGTACTTAGCTAGCTATTGAGGCAATACAGGTTTCTAGATTTACTCATTGTTTTCACTGTACACACATGTCATGTGTGTCATGATAAACCCATGTGTGTGCATATATTGATTAAATATTATATTTCTTTTTACTTTTATTATTATTATTGAGAAAAGGTCTCACTCTGTCGCCCAGGCTGGAGTGCAGTGGCACAATCTCGGCTGCCTGCAGCCTTGTCCTCCCAAAGCCCTAGACCCTGTAACATAATAGAATATGTATGTTTCTAATTTGTGCAATATGGAAGCAGGAATACTACATAGAACTGTCATCTTTTCCTATTGCATTTATTTTGGTGTGGAAAAATCTAATAATTGGCTTCAGTCAGTAAGTCTATTTCATTCAAGAATATTTAAATATAATCCAAACCATCTTAGATACATTTTGTGATACAAGAGGATGGTATCTTCTATTTGGAAATATAAAATCCCAGGGTCTCACAGTTTAAGTATACTTTCCAGGGGTATGTATAAAACAAGAATCCCACTTTACAAAGTTAATAGAAAAAAAATATGCTAATTGGAAGGAGAGGCTTCTGATTGAGGATAAAGTGGAAATTTTCACATACTGCTAATTACACTTTAATGGAGTAAGAAAAAAAGAATTGGAAATAGTACCCTATAAAACTTCTGAAATGAAATTACAGTTTCTCTCTCTCTCTTTCTTTTTTTTTTTTCTTGAGATGGAGTTTTGCTCTTGTTGCCCAGGCGAGAGTGCAAAGGCGCTATCTCAGCACACTGCAACCTTCACCTCCCGGGTTTAAGTGATTCTTTTGCCTCAGCCTCCCAAGTAGCTGGGATTACAGGCATGCACCACCATGCCCGCTAATTTTTTGTATGTTTAGTGACCCACCACGCCTGGCTGTCTCCTCTTTTTAGAATTAGGAGAACTGATTTTTTTCAGTGCTAAACTGGCACTGTCCTATGTTTTCAAGAAAGCAATATGGTGAAATGGAAGAGTCTGGATAGCATGTTTTGTTAGCTGGTGTCTAGTTCTTTAAGTTCCATGAGTCTATTGTGTCTTCTTTACATCTCAAAAAGAAGAGAGAAGAAACCTGCATCTAATTACTGAAGCAGTTTCATTCAGCAAATGTAATTGCATCGCAGGCACATCTCAAATTAAAAATCTTGATCTTGGTCTCTGTCATTTCCATTTTAAACTGGGACTGAATAACCTGTTTTGCCACTCAAAATAATAGCCAGTGTCTCTTTCTTATTAAAATATGTGATCTTTTGCTTGATTACCTAATTATGTCACCTGCACCTTACGTGAGGCAGATAGAAGAGTCTTCCAGTCTGCCAGAGCAGATCTACCAAACTAGACTGCACATACAAATTACCTGGGGATCCTGATAAATTACAGATTCTGAGTCTGCTTTCAAAGAGGGCCTCAAGTCAAGCTGATGGTATTAGTCCCAGGATCCCTCACTGAGTAGCAAGGTCTTAGAATTAAAAAGTGTGCAAGTATAAGGCCAGGAGCAGTGGCTCATGCCTGTAAGCCCAGCACTTTGGGAGGCCAAGGCGGGTGGATCACCTGAGGTCAGGAGTTCGAGACCAGCCTGGCCAACATGGTGAAACCCCGTCTCTACTAAAAATACAAAAAATTAGCCAGGTGTGGTGGCACGCACCTGTAATCCCAGCTACTCAGAAGGCTGAGGCAGAAGAATTGCTTGAACCTGGGAGGTGGAGGTAGCAGTGAGCCAAGATCACGCCACTACACTCCAGCCTGGGCTCCAGCCTGGGCAACAACAGCAAAACTCCATAAAAAAAAAAGTGCAAGTTTATAAACATGGAAACGTGGACAATTGTAAGCAATATTAGAGAACTGTAGAAAACAATTTTTTAAGTGATATGTTTAACCTATTTAGAATAAAACCCATTAGGGTCCTAGGAATTTCTGGAACTGCCTTACTTGTGAGAAACATGATCCTAAGATGCCCATTTGTTTATCAGTACATCAATTTTCTCCTTCTTAAATTGGTATAATTATTTTCTTCCAAGAAGCCTAGCACACTTTTGTTGTTGTCATTGAAAGAGGGCATATAAGGGTTATGGCTGCTATTTGGAGAAATGCATTAGAAAATAAAAAGCTTGAAAAAGTTGTATTACTGAGAAAAAAGTTGAATGAAAATAAGAAAGATTAAATTGAAATAAATAATGAATCAGTAAGGTATGCACTGTTAAACACTTGATGGGATTTCCCAAGTATTGACATGCTGATAACTTGAAATAAGAATGGGAGAAAAGGTCAATCTGAATTCTTAAAATGTTGAAGGCTGGGAATAAGAAGTAATATATCACAGAATCTGATAGAAAAATTTTTATTTATTTTATGGGAGAAAATGGGAGACTAACAGACAATAGGAATAGGAAAGAATTAATAGAAATAGCAAAAAGAAGTGTATCTGCAATTATTAATATAATACAAGAGGAAATTGTGTAGAGATATTTAAAGAAAGATTGATGAAATTTAGATTTATGGAGAAATATCCTAATAAAGGCATTATTTATAATCAACTGTTCATAATTATTATATAATTCTGACAGTTTTTAGGATATAAATGTAAGGCAGAATGATCTAATATAAAATGTATAAATGGGACAACATATAATTTTGCTTAGGAAATTGAATAAATAAAGTAGTGATTTACGATTTGCATTAATATAAAAAAATTTAAAATGGTTTACATCTTGTTTGAAATGGATGATAAACAGGAAAAGAGTAATTTAGTACATTGAGTAATTTAGTACATTGGTCACCAAAGAAATACAAATTGAAACTATAAGATGCCTTCTCCCATCTTTGTCAGATTTGTAGGTATAAAAACAGTAGTAGTTGTATTGGTTGGAGAACAGAAAGATGACACTTTCATATGCGGCTGATTAGAGCACAGATTGGTATATTATTTCTGAGATGCAATTTGAAAATATGTACCATCAGCCTCAAAGATGATTATGACCATGTGTCACTACTTTCTTGGAAATCATTATTAATGCATGTATAGATTGATGTTTACTGTAGTATTACTTAACATAATGAGTTGAGTACAACCTTCACTCCCAAAAAACATGAGGTAGGGGTGAATTAGTTAAATATACAATCACAATGAGCTATGACAAAATGCAGTTACTTAAAAGCACATTTATAAGACTATTAATGGCAATAAACATGATTTGATATAATTTTTTCAAAAATTAGGGGAATTCTATTCCTAGCATTGTGACAGACTAAATTTGCTGAATCACTATCCTGCTATATGAAATCTACAAATACCAGATAAAATGTACATGTCATTTTTCAAAAGTATATTACTGACTTGAATAGAAATTAAGGTGAACCACATAGGCCAAGCATAAGGAGAATACATAAATCCAGAGAGGTATGCAGACCCCCAAACCAGAAGCTTCCATAAGGACAGTCCTGGCCCTAGTACCCTGAGCTTCAATTTTTATGACCACCTGGGATATGGGAGAGTGTGAGACAAAACCTAGTGCCTGCCCAGTATAGCAGTCTTACAGGAGAAAACTGCTGAAAGCCAGAGATATGAAGGACTATAATTTCAGTGAAAGGATAAACTAGATAAAAACCTGTTCCTCAGGGGGAGACAACCAGGAAATTTTCCTGCCTCAAACTCGGTGCTATTTAGAGGAAAAATTAGAAGGCCATCTTCACATGAATTTGTGGTTTAAATTTTCACTGTAAGTATAATTTTAAAAAAACCCACACATGAAACTGATAATTTATTTTATAGTTATCCCATGTTGGTATTACCACCAAACACAAGACGAAGGCAAAGTGTCTTTGGAGAAACCCACATTCAGCCCATGTCTCAAAGAATGGCCACAGGTAAAATTTCATCCAAAATGAGAAAAAAGTAAGACTCTTACAAAACTCATGAGGAAATAAACATCATGAGCAGAAACAGAATTATGCCCATAAAGATTTCAGATATTAGGATGATTATATAACTATAAAAGCTGTGTTTAATAGGTTTAAAAAATCAATGAGGTGTGCCAGGAATATAAATTGAGACAGTGTATGTATCTTATGTTAAGCAGATTGAAACTGAACTTAAGAGATCTTTTAGAAATAAAAAATATAATGAAAATTAAAAACTAAATGGACAGGTTAAACACAATATTGGATAGAACCAAAAAGAAAATAAGTGAGTTGGAAGTTAGACTAAACAAATTATGCTGAAGACAGTACAGAGGAGGAAAGGAAAATGGATAGGTGAAATAGAGGTTGAAAAATTAGAGTATCTAATCATATCTGCAAAAGAAAAATTGAATTGGGGGAAGGTTATATTTAAGGTTATATTTAATATCTGAGGGCTTTTCATCATTGGAATTTATTAATGTTCAAGGAAACCTGGAAAGTTTTCTAACACATTAAAGGAGCTTTAATTATAAGTTCCAAATTCTTCTTAGAAGAAGAGAACCAGCAGGCCCAGACATTTTTACTGGTGAGTTCTATCAAATGTTTTCAAGAAATTGATTATTTCCATTTTATAAAAACAACTCCAGAATAAAAAAAGGTCCATTTGTTTGTTCATTTTATGAGGCCAGTACAACCTTGATACCAATGTTATATGAGAAATGTGTAAGACAGGAAAATTACATGCCAACTTTCCTCATGAACCTAACGGCAAACATTTTAAATTAAAAGTTAGCAAATTAAGTTTAGAAATCTGTAAAAAAGATAATATAGTATGAAAATTGTGTTTGTTCCATGAATGCAAGGATTTCTAACAATAGAAAAAAAACTATGTATAATTCATCACATTAACAAGTTAAAGGAGGAAAAGCAAATCATCATTGTAGAAGAGGCAAAAAGTGAATTCAATAAAATAAAATATTTAACTTTGACAAATCTTGTTTAGCAAACAAGAAATAGAAGAGCTTTCAGTGTTTGCTTATAAATCAGAAACTATTCTTCGTCTTTCAAGCAGAGGTGATTTAATACAGGTGATTGATTACACAAGTGATGGAAGCCAAACCAGGCTTGGTGAGTCAGCAGCTCAAGAGCAAGAAACCAGTACTGCCCCTAGGACTAGAAGGATCATGGAAGAAGGTGTTATTATCAGAGCCAAGGGGCCAGGACTTCAGGCAGGTTGCTAGAGCTAATGGGAATTGGGTCCATGGAGGGAGGGGCTATCTGGTGGGAAGCAGCCCTGCAGAGAAGAGGCAGGCTTTTATGGCATCTCTCACTGGATAGCCTACTGGGAAAATGGAGGGCAAAGGAGACTGGGAAATAAATGTTATTTTCCTGAAACATAGAACAGAGTTGGAGAGTAATTTGGGAGGGATCTGGGGGCAAATTTGTCAGGACCCAAGACATGATTAAAGCAGGCAGGGAAAAGAGATGCTGGTCAAAGCAGGTGGCCTTTGCTGGTATTTCAAAGTCCTAGTTTTAAAACTCAGAGGTTTTAAATTATTATCTTATTACTAATCAGATATTTTATACATATTTAATATATTTATATATTAAATATTTAATTATAATTCAAAACTTTTATGTACACTATAATCTCATTATTGTTTTCTATACTATTATATACAATATACAAATACAGAAATACAGAAATGTACCTCAGTTTGAAAGAGAATTTGAATATGAGGCAAAAAATACCCCCAAATTATAGTTACATTACAAGAATTGAATTTAAGAAGGAAGAAGCAAATTGCAAGAGATAAGACCAAGCCTCTTTAGTAATGATCATTCTAAATCCAATTGGTATAAATTTAGAGATGCACAACTGGATTGCAGTGTAACTAAGAAAGTTTGTGTGTCAAAAACCATATTTATCCTATGTGAAGAAATAATAGTTTCATAGGAGAAGGTTAATTGGCATGGAGTCTGTAAAAGAGAAGTTTGGATAGATGATCGAGCTATATATTTGTCAAATAATATCTAAAGGTAAAAAGATCTAGTTCACAGAGGCGAATCTCTGATTTTTTAATTTGCATTAACAGAAACAACATTGGAAGGGAGTATATTAAGATTTTAATAGTGACTATTTCTGCCAATGGTTTCTGTTTTATTGTTTACTATTTTCGGTATATTTCCAATGTTTCTTAATAAGTGTTTATTATTTAAAAAATGAGAAAACAGCAATGAGTAATTCAGTAAAATAAAATTTTTCAAAATTGTGACTGCTATGATTATGAGCCAATTATGAAAGAAAGAGACACAGATAGAAATAGGGTGACCAATCTTTCAACTTACTCAGGAATGAAGGATTTTCTGGATGGGGGATTTTTGTTGCTAAAATCGGGACAGTAGGGGACATATTGGGACTGTGGAAAAAGCCTACAGGGATTTATTTCCTAACTATGAATGTCTATCTTGGTCTAGAGACGACTGTTCTCATAAATAGGTAGAGTAGATGTGGTATTTCTGGAATGAGATTTAACATCTTTACGTAGCTTGCCCTATTAAAAGTAGACAAATGCTTGTGAGAGAATATCATATACTTTTGAAAGCTAATGTCTTAACTAATTTGCTGCAAGCAAAGCTCTTGAAGACTGTGATGTAACAGAGATTCCTAGGTATCAGTGAAGATACGGAGATGAAAAAGGGAAGTTGAAAAAAGAAGCTGAGAGATAAGCATGGAAATCATTTTCCAACCTCATTTTTCCAGTCTCCATTTTCCTGTATTGAGAAGTGAAAATATGTTTTCTAGAGATAAAGTTCTAGAAATGAACTCTGACATAGATATTTTAAAACCAATTTCAGAAACAAAATAATATGTGAACCTAGAGTAGTTGTAATTTATGTCCTTTTGTTTGTCTTTATCCTGTAGTTAAGTTTCCCTTGGGATCTCTTTGGGAAAATGGAGTACTGCATTTTACAAGGCAGGACTTGAATTTTCTTTCTTTTCCTTCTTTCTCTCTTTCTTCCTTTCTTTCTTTCCTTTTCTTCTTTCTTCTTTCTCTCTTTTTCTTTCTTTCTTCCTTTCCTTCCTTCCTTTTTCTTTTCTTTCTTTCTCTCTTTCTTTCTTCCTCTCTCTCTTTTTCTCTTCTTTCTTTCTTTCTTTCTTTGTTCCTTTCTTTCTTTCTTCTTTTCCTTCCTTCCTTCCTTCCTCTTCTTCCTTTCTTTCTCCTTTCTTTTTATTTTTTTTGACATGATCTCACTTTGTCACCCAGGCTAGAGTGCAGTGATGTGATCATAGCTTAATGCAGCCTCTCTCTCCTGGGCTCAAGCAATCCTCCCACCTCAGCTTCCAGAGTACCTGGGGCTACAGCTGTGTGCCACCACGCCCAGCTAAAGGACTTGAATTTTCTTACATATCTTGGCCCTATAGAGTGGTTCTCAACCTTGGCTGCACATGTCTATTACCTGAGAAAAGTTTTAAATAACCTAATACTCAGGTCACACCCTAGACTTTAGGGGTGAGACAAGCATTAATATTTTTTAACACTCTTAGAATTAAGAGCCACTAATATTGTAGCATTGCAATTCCTATAAAGAGAACAGATGTGAGTCAATTTGTTACAGTATTGTTGTATTCATCTGTTTTCATGCTGCTGATAAGGACATACCTGAGACCGGGCAATTTACAAAAGAAAGAGGTTTAATGGACTTACAGTTCCACATGGGTGGGGAGGCCTCAAAATCATGGTGGAGGACAAAGAGGAGCAAGTCACATCTTACATGGATAGCAGCAGGCAAAGAGACAGCTTGTGCAGGGAAACTCCCATTTTAAAAATGATCAGATCTCATGAGACTTACTCACTAACACAAGAACAGCACAGGAAAGACCCATCCTCATGATTCAGTTATCTCCCACTGGGCACCTCCCACAACATGTGGGAATTATGGGAGCTACAAGATGAGATTGGGTGTGGACACAGCCAAACCATATCAATTGTCATCACTCAAGGCAGATGAGTATATAGAAAGCTATCAGTTGTAAGGAATTGGACTAAGTTTAAGAGAATAATAATTAAGATAGAACAAATGTTTGGTCCTGCTTAAGGGCTAGGATAGATGAGGCACAATAGAATCATGTGGGGAGCTGTAAAAATGCCCAGGCCCTACTCTGTGTCAATTAAATCAGAATCCAGAATCTCTGCTTGAGTGTGTCTAGAGTATTGGTCAAAGGAAACAGTGATTTTGATGTGCAGCCAGTTAAGAGCTGATATCCTCAAGGATCATGATGTGACACAGCTGTTTCAGAAGGGTAAATCTCCATACTCCCACTTTAGAAGAAAAGAAAAGACAAAATGACAAAACAATCAAGCAAAAGGGCTGGAAGAGCTGGTAGATAACAGGGTGTCAACTTGAATTAATTCAGCTCTTTGGTAAAGATTAGCTGGAGTAAAGAAATTCCAGTTAGTCAAATGGGATGAATGTCCTTTTATGGAAACCATATCATGCTTTTTGAATGATCTGAGAAAGACTGGAAGCATTAGAGGTGAAGTATATCCATTTGCTCAATGGGAGAAGATTTTGTTTTATTTTATTTACATAATGTGATATGCTTGGCCATCTGCAGTAGTGCCTGAAAGGGGATGTAAAACGGAAAATGTAGTCAATGAGACTGATTAATAACCCTGGGTAGAAAAATAGGCCAAGTGGAAAAACTTATTCATATAATTGCTTCATTTTGCTGACTGCAAAAGGATTTGTTTTGGAAGTGATTTCTGCTCTTTAACCTAGTGGATTGATAGATCACAGAAAGGTCTTAGAAATGACATTACGTAATTTTGTTCATAACATGAAATTAGCTTGAATCAAAAAATGTATACCTTTTTTTGTATCTACCTTCTAAGACATTTGTCTTGAGAAATTAATGATTCTACAACATAAATAGTCATTGTGAAAGGAAGGAAAAAGATAACAGAGGGCTTTCATAATAATCATGGACTCAAGATTATCTAATTTAAAAAGACATATCTCATTTTCCTTTATTTAAACATAAAACAAATGAGAGAAAACAGAAATAGCTCATAATTTTATTTATCTGATAAAACATGCTGACATAAAAATATAATTCATGCACCCAGTAAGAAAATCAAAAAATTAAATAAAGGTAAAAATGAAATATAAAATTCTCTTTCCTCTAGTCTCTTACCCCCAGACATCTAGAATCTCTCCTTAAGATAATCACTGTTGACAATTTCTTGAGTACCTTTTTAAAAATGACCTTAATACACATCCCCCGTATAGAATATAGATCTTAAACAAGTTAGAAAATAAAATTTTATCTTTTAGTATTACACAAAAGGATGTTCAGAACTAAGCTTTGTATTTTTTTTTTTCTAGAGATGAGGTCTCACTGTGTTGCCCAGGTTGGTCTCAAACTCCTGGGCTCAAGCAATCCTCCAGCCTCAGTCTCCAAAAGTGTTGGGATTACAAGCATGACATGAAGTCTTGCCTGGCCTAGGCTTTCTATTTTTGTTTAATAATTTACCTTCAAGATATTCTTAACTTTTAACAACTGTATTGTATAAATATATTTTTTATTTAAACAATAGGCTACCAATAACATTAATAACATATCTTGGTTTATGTATTTTACAAGATTCTCCAAGTGATAAATTCCAACCTGAAAAGTTGCTATAGAACATATGAATTTAACATTTTTTAATTGCTGCGATCTAATATGATCCTAAAACATGGCCCTAGTTTATATTCCTATGAGAATGTCTAATACCTACACTCTTGCTAACATTGACTGCTATTGCATTTTAAAGACTAATTTGATTGGATTGATGTTGAACATCTTCTGTTACTCCTGGCCATTACATTTCTTTTTCTACCTATTAATCTCCCTTGTATAATATTGCATTATTCGTCTTTTTTGTCTCATTTATCGACAAAGATTAAAGTTATTGGCAGTAGTGAAAATGGAGAAAAAAATCAAAATTCAAATACTGTAGAGTACAATATTTTGGAGAATAATTTGATTCTATATATTGAAATTTAAATTGTCTTTAATCTTTGACCCAGTTATTCTATTTCTAGTAATTTTTCTACCCAAATAATAATACAGGAAAAAAACCTTTACAGAGATTATTCTTATAATGTTTGTGATACAATATTTACAGGCAACATAAATTCTCATCCAGAGATCAGAGTAAATATTATATAGTATATCTGTAGAATGAAATGTACCTTGCTGTTTAAATGAGTAAATTAGTTATTATCATAAAATAAATGTCATGTAAAGACATTTATTTTATGGTGTATAAAATTAGAAAAACAAGTTATTAAAAATAACATGATTTTTTGTAAAATGCTTTTATTTTGTTTTTAATTGACATAATAATTGCACATGTTTATGGGGTACAGTGTGGTGCTTTAGTGCATGTGTACATTGCGTAATGGTCAAATTTAAAAATTAAATGTATTGATAGAAAAAGTGTTTGGATATTTGTATCCTAAATGCTAACAGTGATGATATCTGGAATGTGGAACTGCTGGTAATTTTTCCCTTTTTCTTTTAGAGATTTTTGTACTTATTTTTAATAATAAACATATACTAATTTTATAATAAAAATAACAATGAAGTCCTTTCCATTTTGAAAAATTAATTCCAATAGAAAAATATTGTACTTGAGCCACTTTCCAGGGTTTTCTTATTCTTAGTGCTGGTATAAGGTACCAGTGATATTATATTTTCAGATATGTTTGGCTTTTCTGCCTTATGGTTGAAGATGAGCTTAGGAAGTATTGCTGCCTAATTTTCAGGCTTTTGAGCCAATGCTTGGTGCACAAAAAGCACCACATCAACTTTAAACAGAATATTCTGCTTCTTTAGACTGTATTTCCTACTTTTTATAGTATTTATTAGCGCCAGAACTCTGTGACTGTTTCCCAAAGAACAAGAGAGAAAGATCAAGGAAAGTGAGAAGCAATGAAACTAGATTTAATTAATACTCTGGCTTGTCAGCAGCCAGATTTGTTTGTTGAAGAAGTTGAACCTATTAGCTTAAACAGGGATTAACTCTGCCAACTCTGACAGAGCATGGACAATTAAGAGTTTATTGGAAATTAATTGAAAATAATACAGTGTTGTGAGGTGAGATGAAGATGATTTCCTTTAAGGAAATTATGCCAAGTGTTTTGAATCAGCCAAGGATAAACAAATGCAGACTATCATTTGATGGAGGTATTATAAACTGATAACATGATTCGAAGTATAAGAATGGCAAATTGTGAAGAATGAATGAAATTACAGAGATAAATAGCAAAAATGTGAAACTAAAATAAAGAGGAACAGTGAGTAAATGGGGTTAGCTGAGAATATGGTTTAACAGGGCATACTCTATTCATTTATGAAGAAATTTTAATCCTCAAAATGCTACTTGTCTTAGTCTGTGTAGGCTGCTGTAACAAAATACCACAAGCTGAGTAACTTATAAACAACAGAAATTTCTTACAGTTGTGCAGGCTGGGAAGTCCAATATCAAGGCAGATTCAGCATCTGGGGTGAGGTTCACCCTTCTGGCTCATAGATGGCAACTTCCTGCTGTATCCCCATACTTTGGAAGGGGCCAATGAGCTCTCTGGGATCTCTTTTATAAGGGCACAAATCCCATTCATGAGAATCTTGTCCTCATGACCTAATCACCTCCCCAAGGCTCTATCTCCTAACACGAGTAGTTTGGGGGTTAGGATTTCAATATACAAATTTGGGGGGACATAAACAGTCAGTCTGTGACATTGCCATTTCATCAGTAAGAATTTTCATGAACTCACTATTAAGATTTATGTTTAGGTTTTTTATGTGGATGTTCTCACTTTATAATATTGTTTGTCTGCATAGTTTAAAGAAAAGGACAATGCCCAATTAGAACAGGAGGTGTCTTTTGTTGGCCAGCAAAATATTTTAAGATGCCTTTAGTGTGACCCTACATAGAGATCATCAAGGTAACATCATTTTGTTCTTGTTATAGATCCACATGTTTCACTCAAGATCCCAGAAAGAAAATGTATGAAAACACATTGAAAGACAATAATCCATCCTTACAATGCTAGCCAATGTTTATTATTGCTTTCTATGTGTGAGGAATTGTGTTAAACACTTAAAAAGATGTTATCCCTCATAATTATCATAACACCTGAAGAAGTAGGTGGGGTGATTTTCTCCAATTTAGATATTATAGGAACTGAAACACTTGCCCACTAAACAGGCAATTGAAAGAGATAGGATTTCTATAGAAAATTGCCAGCTCCACAGCTAGTGTTCCTATTCTCATCATTAGTGTTCCCTTAGTGGTTTTGATATTACACCTAATACTATTTAATACAAAATTAAAGCATCCACCCTATTCTGGGATTTACTGTCAAGAATAGAGCACTGAGCCTGATAAACAGTATCCACTTTGGAATGCATGTTTCTATCCAGCTACTTAATATGACATAAGTTCATTGGACATTAAGGCCAGATTTCTTGACATGCTTTACCCTCAAATTAACAAGTTTGGCTTATTCAATTGTGGACCTTTAACCCTTAGGCCAGATAGTATATGAGGCCTAGAGTAGTGGAAAAAGGTAACTGGATTTACAAAATTTGACTCTTCAAATTCTGTAAGAATTCAATATATTGAGGAAAGTTTAGGTGCATAGTAAAATTATAATTTCATATTGTTGCACAGACTCAGGCAGATGAAAGAGACTCCAATAGTGGTCAGGTAGTACCCAGACAGTCAGTTGATTGTCTCTGTGCTGAAAGGATTTAAGAATGAAGAAGAGTTTGCTCCAATGTATGTTTCAATATCTCATTGTTTTACAATAATATTTGAAATAATACCTAGGAACCCAACTTACAAGGGATGTGAAGGACCTATTCAAGGAGAACTACAAACCACTGCTCAAGGAAATAAAAGAGGACACAAACAAATGGAAGAACATTCCATGCTCATGGATAGGAAGAATCAATATCGTGAAAATGGCCATACTGCCCAAGGTAATTTATAGATTCAATGCCATCCCCATCAAGCTACCAATGACTTTCTTTACAGAATTGGAAAAAAACTACTTTAAAGTTCATACGGAAACAAAAAAGAGCCCGCATTGCCAAGTCAATCCTAAGCGAAAAGAACAAAGCTGGAGGCATCACGCTACCTGACTTCAAACTAGACTACGAGGCTACAGTAACCAAAACAGCATGGTACTTGTACCAAAACAGAGATATAGACCAATGGAACAGAACAGAGCCCTCAGAAATAACACCACACATCTACAACCATCTGATCTTTGACAAACCTGACAAAAGCAAGAAATGGGGAAAGGATTCCTTATTTAATAAATGGTGCTGGGAAAACTGGCTAGCCATATGTAGAGAGCTGAAACTGGGTCCCTTCCTTACACCTTTTACAAAAATTAATTCAAGATGGATTAAAGACTTACATGTTAGACCTAAAACCATAAAAACCCTAGAAGAAAACCTAGGCAATACCATTCAGGACACAGGCATGGCAAGGACTTCATGTCTAAAACACTGAAAGCAATGGCAATAAAAGCCAAAATTGACAAATGGGATCTAATTAAACTAAAGAGCTCCTACACAGCAAAAGAAACTGCCATCAGAGTGAACAGGCAGCCTACAGAATGGGAGAACATTTTTGCAATCTACTCATCTGACAAAGGGCTAATATCCAGAATCTACAATGAACTCAAACAAATTTACAAGAAAAAACAAACAACCCCAACAACAAGTGGGAGAAGTATATGAACAGACACTTCTCAAAAGAAGACATTTATGCAGCCAACAGACACATGAAAAAATGCTCATCATCACTGGCCATCAGAGAAATGCAAATCAAAACCACAATGAGATACCATCTCACACCAGTTAGAATGGCGATCATTAAAAAGTCAGGAAACAACAGGTGCTGGAGAGGATGTGGAGAAATAGGAACACTTTCACACTGTTGGTGGGACTGTAAACTGGTTAAATCATTGTGGAAGACAGTGTGGTGATTCCTCAAGGATCTAGAACTAGAAATACCATTTGACCTAGCCATCCCATTACTGGGTATATACCCAAAGGATTATAAATCATGCTGCTATAAAGACACACGCACACGTATGTTTATTGCGGCACTATTCACAATAGCAAAGACTTGGAACCAACCTAAATGTCCATCAGTGATAGACTGGATTAAGAAAATGTGGCACATATACACCATGGAATACTATGCAGCCATAAAAAAGGATGAGTTCATGTCCTTTGTAGGGACATGGATGAAGCTGGAAACCATCATTCTCGGCAAACTATCACAAGGACAAAAAAACAAACACCGCATGTTCTCACTCACAGGTGGGAATTGAACAATGAGAACACATGGATACAGGAAAGGGAACATCACACACTGTGGCCTGCTCTGTGGTGGGGGGCTGGGGGGAGGGATAGCATTAGGAGATATACCTAATGTAAAAGATGAGTTAATGGGTGCAGCACACCAACATGGCACATGTATACATATGTAACAAACCTGCACGTTGTGCACATGTACCCTAGAACTTAAAATATAATAAAAAAAAATTAAAATATTCTGCAGTCACAGTGACTGTCTTGGCTTCTCTTAATTTATGAGGACCTTTGTCTTATAGACTCTTTTTTAAAAAAAAAGATGGGGTCTTGCTATGTTGTCCATGCTGGAGTGCAGTGGCTATTCACAGGCTTGATCATTGCATACTACAGTCTGGAACTCCTGGACTCAAGTCTCCCAGTGGCTGGGAATACAGGTGAGTGCCTACCACACCTAGCCTGATTTACAGATTTTTGACATCTATTATAGTTAAATGTATTTTCAGCATTTGCATATTAAAGGAATAATATTGATGCTTAACTTCATTAGTGATCAGGGAATTCCAAATTTAAAAAAATTTTTTTCATCTCTTATAGTATATTTAAAAATTCATTGCTGATAAGGATTCAGGGACGCCAACATTGTACATTGGTAGTGAAAATGTAAATTGGAAACTTTCTGTAATCTGACAGTAATTATTTTTTTAAAAATCCTTTTGAACTTGCAGTTCTACTTTTGGGATTTGAATTTATGGAAAGTAAAGTGCCAGTGAGAAAGAATATTGTTGCCCCTTGAACAACATAGGGTTAGGGGAGCTGGCCTCCCACACAGTGAAAAATCCGCATACAACTTTTGATTCCCCCCAAACTAATAACCTATTGTTGACCAGAAGGCTTACTGATAACATGCGTTACATTTAAGACATATTTTGCATGCTATGTGTATTATATACTGTATTCTTACAATAAACTAAGCTACAGAAAAGAAATTATAATCAAGAAAATTGTAAGGAAGAGAAAATATATGACCCATTCATTAAGTGGAAGTGGATCATCCTAAAGGTCTTCATCATTGTTGTCTTCATGTTGAGTAGGCAGAGGAGGAGGAGGAGGAGCTGGTCTTTGTGTCTTAGGGTAGCAGAGGTGGAAGAGGGTGAAGGGATGGAAGGGGAAGCAAAAGAGGCAAGCACACTTGGTGAAACTTTACAAAAATACATCATTATTTCTGTCTATTTTGCTTTTTCATTTCTCTAAAAACATTTCAGTGTAGTACCTATCCGTCTTCCACCATTTGCTTTAGTTTCAGTTCCTGTATCATGGAACGGTCTATGTCATAAAAGAAGTCAAAAGTAGTCTTGAATAATCAAAGCTCTTTTGCCAGATTGTTGAATGCCAATTTGTTTTCTGGCACTGCTTTTCCTATGTCTTCTTCCTCATTATCTGGCACTGGTTAGGAAGCACTCATCTCCATGAAGTCATCTTTTGTTAATTCCTCTGGTGTGGTGTGTATTAGCTCTTAAATTCCTCCAAGATCCATATCTTGCAACCCTTCACTCCACACCTTTTTTTCCCTTCATATCCATACTTCTTTCCATGGTTTTCTCTAAATTGGGTTTGTCGTAATTCTGTAGCTATGCACAACATCTGGACACAAATTGTACTTTTGTCCAGCAGGAATTTATTGTTTTGAGTTTCATGGTTTTCTATATCAACTGATGACATCTTGAAAGGTGTAAGCCTTCCAGACTTCCATGATGTTCTCTGTATTGGGTTTCTCTTTTGCAATGTTGACAAACCTTTCCATAGAGTGCCATATGTAGAGCCTTAAAGGTCCTTATGACTCCCTTATCTAGAGGCTGAAGTAGAGATGTGTTTGGGGGAAAAGGAGAACACTTCAGTGCCTTTGGTGTTGAACTCATGGGGTTCTGGGTGGCCAGGGGGCATTTTCCAATTAAACAACAACAACAAAAAACTTTAAAAAGCAGTCCCTTACTGGCAAGGTACTTCTGACTTCAGGGACAAAGCACTGATGGAACTAATCCAGAAAAAGCATTCTCATAGTCCAGGCCTTCTTGTTGTACAACCAAAAGACTGGCAACTAGTGTTTCTCTTTTCCCTTTCAAGACTCAGGGGTTAGCAGCTTTATAGTTAAGGGCAGCCCTGATCATAAACCCGACTACATTTGCACAAAGCAGTAGAGTTAGCCTATCCCTTCCTGCCTTAAATCTTGGTGCTTGCTTCTCTTCCTTACTAATAAATGACCTTTGTGGCTTTTATTTTTCCCCCTGGAATAGGGCACTTTCAGCTGCATTAATACCTATTCAGGCAGATATCCTTTCTCCTCAATGTTTTTCTTAACGGCATTTGAGAATTCACTTGCTGGTTCTTGGTTGGCAGAAGTTGCTACTCCCATTATCCTGACATTTTTAAAACCAAACCACTTTCTAAAATTATCAAATCATCCTTTGCTGCCATTAAATTCTCCAGCTTTAGATCTTTCATCTTGCTTTTACTTTAAGTTGTCAAATAATGACTTCGCTATTTCTTGAATCAAATAAGAGTCTATAGGTATGTCTTTCTTATAGCAATTCTGTACCCCACATAAAAGCTGCATTTTGAATATGAGATAAGAAAGGACAAGGTTTTCATGCCTGTTGGCATGAAATGAGGCCTTATGAATTTCTCTTTTTTTTTTTTAAGGGACCTTACACTGGATTCATTTATTTTGAAATGGCAGGCAGCTGAAGAACTCAATCTATAGGAAGCAATCTAACTTTTTCTCATAATGTCACAACTTTTCTCTGCTTCTTGGGAGCACTCCCAGCATCACTTGTGGCACTTTGTATTGGTCTCATGGTGTTATTCAAGATTTATAGTATTACACTAAGCACAATGAAAAGAGAACTGTGAGAGAACACACTATTTACTTAGATACAGAATTTACTGAAGAGACCAAGTGCTCATGGCAGATACTGGCAACATGAGCTCACCACAGTAGCAACAGGGGGTGGCTACAAAATTATTATAATAGTACATACACTGGAAAGTAGACGCTGGAGAATATTCCAAAAGATGCCAGGGTTGGAGGGGAGTGAGGGTTGAAAAATTATTATTGGGTACAATGTTCACTATTGGGGTGATGAGTACAGTAAAAGCTCAGACTTCACCACTAGCAATATATCCAAATAACAAAACAATCATATAATAAAAGTATGCTTGTACCTAGCACATTTATAAAAATAAAATAAAACTAATTATTTGGGTAGTACAGTATGTGCTATAGTTAATTGTATGCAGTTGTGGTTTAATACAGCATCTTTATGTTTGTTTATGTTTCTCTTGACTGCAAATAGTGACTTGTACGGTTTGTGTGCATACATTTTGATAAGTTTTAACTTTTTATAATAGATTTGTGTATATTTTATGGTAGTAAATGATAAAATAGATTAACATATACATATACTTTATGCATTCAGGATGTACATAGCTTTTTCTTAATTTTTTTCTTATATTCTAGGCTATGCAGTTAGTCTGCTAGTTTTTTCAATTGCAATTCTCCAAAACTTTTTCTGATATATTTATTTTTTTAAAAAAATACCAGTGTAGGCGGACCTGCACAGTTGAAACCCATGTTGTTCCAAGGTCAACTAAAAAATCTGAAATCTGAAATGCTTCAAAATTGGAAACATTTTGAGCACTGATATGATGCCACAGGTGAAAAATTTCACATATGACATTATATGACTGGTCACAGCCAAAAGACAGTCAAAATTTTGTTTCTTGCACAAAATTTTACAAATACATAAAATTACCTTCAGGCTACATGTATACTATATGTAGGGAATGTAAATAAATTTAGATTGGGTCTCATTCCTAACATATCATGTTATGATATGAAAATATTTCAAAATTTGAAAAAATCCAAAATCTACAATATTTTTGGTCCCAAGCATTTCATATAAGGGATACCATACTCCAGAATGTTAGAATGTTTATGGCTACTTTGTTTGTAGTACAGGGGGAAAAAAATCATGATGAGTCTCCATCAGTAAAAAGATAGTTTAAAAACTTGTAGAATTTAGTCATATACATATATTTACACATGCATATATGCACACATATTATTTTTCTCTATATAGAGAAACTGTGCATTCATTTAAAGTGATATTTCCTCTTTTTGTTAATTGACTTGGAGAAATGTTCATACTGTATTGATAAGTTGGAAAATCAGTTTGTTTACATGAGGTGAAGTGGAAAAGTTAAACTACATTATAAAGTACATTATAGGCTTTTCAAAGGGCAGAAAAGTGTCACCTGAGATGAGGCAATGAAGTGCTCATGGCCATTCATCCCTGTTTTACACCAATAGAAAGAAAAGTTTGGAAAATGATGGATTTCTCAATAAAATTTCAAGGAAGTAGAGATAAATATGTTACTGTACTAATGTATTCATGTCTTCTTAAGAGAAATGGAACTCCAAATTTTTAGAATTTTTGAATAGGAATGATAGAGGAAAGAAAACAGAACACTAGTGACTCCGGCATTGTCTGAAGCTGAGGACTGGGCTGTGGGTAACCAACAGGTGATATTACTTTAGCCTGAATAATCCAGACGTTATGATGTTTTGGCCTCTGTGTCCAAGACTCTTGTAGATTTCTTGTCAGGCCACAATTCTTTGAGTGAGAGTAATATTTTTTCAGTAGGCAAAAATCCCTTGAAAGATCAATCCAGGGACATTTATAATAAAGATAGGATTAGAAGGTAGACTTTAGGCTAGGGTTAGGGTTGGAAAAATCAAAACACGTTGTTCTCTTTAGAGTGAGAAATTGGTTTATCCCAGACTTTGAAAGATAATATAATCTATAACCCTCTGGTTATGGGAAAGAAGAGACCTACATGTGGCCATCTTGGGAGCAAGGCAGAGAGCAGGCTGGAAGATCTTCTAGGATGGATATGGACTTGTGAAATGCAGTAGTTAAACAAAGTTTTCTCAGAGTTACATTTGCCTTCCATCATTCCTGAACACTCATGTCATCATGAAATTAGAAGAGCTGATCCAATACTATTGATAAGGAAAGAGACTCTCCTTTCCCCAAAGCGAGAGATAGCAGCAATAATCAGATAATGGCCCAGAAGATGGATGATCATACACACGGCTTGTGTGAGGCTTATGGAAGATAAAACAACCACAATATTTCAGAAATGTTTATATGTTGTTTACAGTTCTACCACTACAAAGCCTTCTAGAATGTGAGACAGAATGGTGTGATGATTATTCTTAGTATAACCAGATTAAGTAAGATTTCACAGGTGGAGTTAAGAATTAAGAATTTTTGATTCAAGAGTCTCATTCACCCTCTTCCTTCTTTGTTAATAGTTCTGTTAGGATCTGCCTTTAATTTGTCTTTTCCTTTAGGGCGCTCAAAACAACACAAGGATTAAATGCCTTTCTATGGTCAAAGTTCTCTCCTTATTTGCCAGTTCTTTTTTTCATGTCCCAATCATAATCTTAATGGTATCGTTGATCACTCAAGCAACTAACCCTGAAGACTGCCCAGTCGCAGGAGCCAATACATCTTTTTATGTTTAAACTCAATCACTTCAAATGTTGATCTTACCTTGTATAATAGAAATTAGTCGTAGAGACTGTGGTGGGATGAGATAGCATTGCGGGTAATCTGGCTCAGCTATGGCTGAGTGGAAGAAACTTGCATCAATTATTTATGGTTAATACAGAGTATCCTAGATCGTAGTTGTGGACTGAATACAGACATTCAGCTCCCTCCCCCACTGAGCTCTCATAACAATGCAGGGACTGGAAAGAATGTCAGCATATGGGATGGGAGAATGAGAAGACAGGAGCTTCTTGGGCAGATATTACGTAGTGAGGAAGCAGTGGGTGAGAACATTCAGTGAGAGACCACAATGTAAGGAGAAAGTCTATCTGACGAGTGGAAGCAGAGACTCCAGACTCAGAACCTTTGGTACGAAGAGTAACTACAGCAAACGGGCAAAGAATAGATTGTGAATTTGGAGGTTATGTGCTTCCTTCTGGCACATGAAAAAACTCCTAAAGCTTTTTGTGGGTCCAAAATGAAATAAAAATCTTTCCCCATTGGTATGAAAATAAGTTAATTAGCTTTTACAATGGTTTGTTTTTGTGTTACTAGTTTCCAGTTGTGGCTGTTTCTCTCAGTTTCTCTCTGTTTTGGTTTGTTTGTTTGTTGCTGTTTTCCTTCTCTTAGGAAACTTTGGCAGATAATTGGGCACAGAAATTGGTCATTTTTTAAACACTCTAGGTTAGTGATTCTCATAGTCCCTAGACATCGGTATCAGTATTACCCGGCAACTTGTTAGATATGCAAATTCTCAAATCTTACCTACTGAGTCATATACTGCCAAGTGAGCCAAGGAATCCGTTTAATTAGGCTTTGCAGGTGGTTCTGATGCACACTCAAGTTGAACCACTGCTGAAGCCATAACTATTGGAGACAATCTTGCATAGCTTGAAAAATGGAGAGCTCTAACTGTTGGTAGGGCTTTGCTTTATTTGTCTTAAGAAAGCATTAATGAGAATAGCTTTGTGTTTCTTTGAAGTTCTGGGTGCTTCTGAAAACTCTAAAGGTTTTCAAGCATTTAAATTTCTCTAGCCCTTTTCTCAAACAAACAAAAAACCCCAAACAAGGAAAATCTCATAGAAATATAAAAATGAGTTAAAATAAGTTGTGAGGAATATTCTATACATCAACAGTAAAGTATTACTCAACCTCAAAAATTACATCTCTACCATAATCTATAATCTGACTGGATAAGGACTATAAATAAATAGCATATGAAAGTCTACAATAAAGCAGGGAGAAAATCATCACTGGCTCCGAATTTGATAATGACTTCTTGTTGTATGTATGTAAATATCTTCTGAACAAATTATTGTACATTTTCCTATCTCTGGAGAAAATTAATGAATTAGGTTAAACAATTTCTTAAGTTTAATGGAGCTTCTGTTTTCCTTGGCTTATGTATACTAGCACAGGTAACTTGCTGAACTGCAGCTCAGAAGAAAAAATCTATAGAGAGGTTTAGTTCTGAGGTGAATTAATGGACTTTGTTGCTATGTCAGAAGGCGAGAAGCAAGGGAAGGCAGGCGGGTAAGAGAATCGCATAACGCAAAGGACTTCAGTGCTTCAGAACAAAATTGAAGCGTTTCAAAAATTTGACTGAAGTAAAGTTCAGTAATATTTTTAATCATGGGAAATCCTTGGATAAATGTATATGGTTTGATAATTTTGGTTTAAATTAATTATGTTTTTTCTCTGATTTTATCACAATCTTAGAATTAATGTTAGCATATTTTTCTGGTTTATAAAATATTTTAACTTACCAGAGCTTTCTAGATGTCCCCTACTCGATTTAAGGCTCAGCTGAATTGAATTATTAAACTAGTATTTTTTAAAACATTTGTTCCTGTAACTTGAGATGGGGCTACAAATAATTATACTGTATAGGTAAAACCACACATACCCTACCTGGTAAAAAATTCAAATTTCATATGTAACACAATTTTCATGTAAATTTTTATATTTTAGTATAAATTCTCTGCAGTGTGTCAGTTTAAAATGAATTTTAACATACTAGTTAGCTTTATGAGCTTGGCTAATATTTCATTGAGATAATTAGTGAAAAATCTTTGGATAAGTCTCATAAAATTTTTAACATATCCTTGCTGCATATTTTTACACATTATAGAGTGGCTATCAAGTAGGAGAATGAACAGTATGTAAAAGTACCCTTAGTTCTGATTAATGCACATGTTCTTTTATACTACTTTAAGAAATTAAGTCAGTTTGAGTATTTAGAAAAGTGCATGCAATATAATTAATGTGTTTTTGCTTATCAAGGCAAAGAGAGTAATTTTGTCTAAAAGGCAAATTGTAGAGTTTTGCTAGAATATAAAACTGAATTTTAAAATACAAATTTAAGGGCATACAATAATTGTAGAATATCTGAGGGAAGTAAACTTCATTTGCTATAGCTTATAATAGCTGCAAATAATGAGTTTAAATGAGCAATAAAACGTTTATAATTTTTGGACTAACTTTACTCAATGTTAATTAGTTTGGGCATAAAACATAAAAGAACTTTTGAGTCTTTTAGTCAATTTGTTAAATGGATGGTCTCAAAAAAGTCATATTAGTATTTGGGTTACCTTTTTGATAAAATAATAAATCAATCTCCATATATTAGCCTTTTTTTTTTTTTGAGACAAAGTCTTGCTCTTGTCCCTCAGGCTGGAGTGCAATGGCGCCATCTTGGCTCACTGCAGCCTCTGCCTCCCGGGTTCCAGTGATTCTCCTGCCTCAGCCTCCTGAGTAGCTGGGATTACAGGCGCCTGCCACCATGCCTGGCTAATTTTTGTATTTTTAGTAGAAATGGGATTTCACCATGTTGGCCAGGCTGGTCTCGAACCCCTGACCTCAGGTGATCCACCCTCCTCGGCCTCCCAAAGTGTTGGGATTACAGGCGTGAGCCACCACTCCCGGCCATATATTAGTTTTTTAGCAAAAATTTAACACTTGTATTCTCCACAGTGTCCTACCGGATTAGATATAGCTCTCCTGGACTAAATTGTTTCTCACCCACAGCAATATTGCCATCCGGGAGAAAAGAGATTTATAGTAGTTTACTTTGTACTCCTAGAAATCCTTTCAAGAAGTATAAAAGTGAATACATACATATTTAAATGATAAACATTTATCTTTGTGATAAAATAGTTAAGTTTCCATGTGAGTCAGGTTTACCACATGAGTGATGAACCAGCTTTAATTAACAATATAACCATTCTCCTCTGTCACTGTAGGCTGTTCTAAAAAAAGAAAAAAGTTTACAAAAGCCTTAATTACCTTATGCTATTTGGGGAGAATTAAGCAATGAATGGAGTGTTGCATTTAACAGGTTATAGAAAATTTTTCTGTGTCCAGCATATAATCAACTACTAATTTTCAGACTGGTTTGGCACAATATAGATTTTCTGCCACTGAATAGAAACTAAAAAATTTGAAAGTCAGAAAATTATTTCCCAGGTTCTGAAAGATATCAACAAAGATATTTTTAATTGACTATGTATGATTATTGATTTGAGATTTAATATACCATGTCTATGAGAATTCTTTGTAATACTTCTGCAGTGTAATTTGCTACATAATGAAAATTCATTTTTCATAATAAATAGTTTTCAGAAGTCATGTTATCTTTCTTGCTCCCAGCAAGTAGCTCTATTTCTTGGCCACATTGAGGAATCAAAATCTAATGTAATTCTTCTAAATAGAATAGAGAACACCTAGAGTCGCTGCTCCTATGACAAATCTTTGGATAACAACTCTCATGTGCGTAAGACATTTTCTGATCTCTTCTGTACTTCAACTTGTAAAGAACTTTGGACATTACAGTCAGAAAGTCTGCTATTCCTACAAAGACAAAAGGGGAAGCCTCTAAATTCCCTGAGTAGTGGGGATAATTAGCTTTCATACTCATCTGCTGACCCCTGATTATCAGAAGACATTTTTATCTCTTTGGCATGCCCCATCACCTGCTGTCTGTCTCCAAAAGACCTGTAGATCAGAGCAGGCATTGTAAGGCAGGGACAGTTCCTGAAATTTCCAATTAACTGATGATGGGAAAGCTCAGAAACACAAACTCTGGGGAGTGGCTGCCTGGTACTGCTAATACTCCTGCTGGAAACAGGGGCACCTGGGCTACAAACAAACGTAAGACTTTGGAAGAAGGTGCGTTAACTTAATTCTGCCTTTCACATGTGAGCTCCCAATTTCCCTTGTGGCTATGAGCCACAAGGGCCCAAATTCAATGGGAGGGTGGTTCGGGTCTATCATGACAAGCCAGGATGGAGGAGACAGAGGTCAGTTATTGGGAGCCCAGATTCTTGCCCTTTAGAAACATGTGCTGTAGCAGAGAGGAACCCACTACAGCTGGGATCCTGGACTGACACAGCGAGTGGGTAGTCCATCCAGGGTCACCTGATTGATAGCAGGCCCTTCACATCTGCAGCCCCCACCTGTGACACTGTTTTTGATACCATATTCCCCAAATTTAACCCTCAAATCCAAAATAGTAAAACTACTGAGATGTTATTTATGAATACAGTATCTCTGGGTTTCTCAGATGGCTGCTGGGAAACTCCAGAGATCCTCCTCCTAGCTCTTAACATGAAGATATATTAGAAATAAAGGTAATGTTTTGCATTCTCCAGATATTTAATTGGCTCAAAACTATGCTCAATATAGTGGAAGCTGCTGTGTTTTTCAAGGCCATATTCTGAGAAAATAGCAATAAAATCATCTTAAATTAATTAAATGCAATAATTATGTATGATTACTGTGGCTATGTTACAATAATTGTGCACTTCTCAGGTTGGATTCAGGCATATTTATGTTCATGTACAAAGACTGGTGCAATAAATGTCAACCAACTGATTAAAAAAAGTAAACTTCTCAGTTGGTGACAAATAATAATATCTACTTTGTGGGGAAAATTAAAGGCCCTGGAGAGGTATCGGGATGCACTAATTGTTCTTCATGTGTTCTGTCTTTTACGGTAATCACTGATTAAAATTTCATTAGATGAGTATGTATTACACCTCAACAGAGAATGCCACTGTCCCCCATTGTGATGTCGTTTGCTATGGCAAAAAATTAACCAAACTTTACAGTTTTATTATTAGCAACATCTCCTCCCCCTATCCCCGCTGCTTTTTTTTTTTTTTTTTTAGATGGAATCTCGCTCTGTTGCCCAGGCTGGAGTGCAGTGGTATGACCTCAGCTCACTGCAAACTCTACCTCTCGGGTTCAAGCTGTCCTCCTACCTCAGCCTCCCGAGTAGCTATATTCAGGTGCCCGCCACCATGCATGGCTAATTTTTCTATTTTCAGTAGACACAGGGTTTCACCATGTTGGCCAGGCTGGTCTCAAACTCCGGACCTCAAGTGATCTGCCTGCCTCAGCCTCCTAAAGTGTTGGGATTACAGACATGAGCCACTGTGCCCAGCCCTCCTTTCCCTTTAAGCATACCTAAAAGCCTCTCTACAAAGCGCCAATCAGAATTTGAGTCATCTGGAAGAAATATCAAAAGAGCTCCAGTAATAACGGTAGCAGACACTGTTGATACTATTGATACCACAGGAAATTGACTCATGGATATAGGCCTCCAAGAATAGGCTGACCTTGTCCCCACAGACAATATTCCAACTATACGAAGTAAATGAGTCAGGAGTTCCAAGACACTCACAATGTAGAAGCGGATGAATTCATGAAAGTAGACTGCTTAACTCAAGACCAGCACGACAAGAGGTTGTTATTTAGGATTAAAGGGCCTCAGTAAGGCAATTTAATTGAGGTTAGTTTAATTTTCTACTTTAATGAACATGAGAACAACCCATTTTCTTTCTTCTTAATCTACCTTTAATCTCCAATTAAATTTACAAATTATTAAATTTGTAAAAACTAAATAAAACACTCTGAATTCTTAGTGTTGAGGGAAAAAATACCTTGCAGAAATTCTTAATATAAAAACAAAGCTAATAAGTTGCCAAGAAAAACATACAAATAATTATTTTGTAAAGAATTGTGACATACAATATTTGGTTTTGTCTATTAACATACCCTTAATTAGCAATATTGGTTAAATCTTGCACAAAGTTTCTTTAATAAAAACATTTACTTTTTGTGACTATGTAGTTATTTATATTGGTTCAATAAGAATTTGTCCTCCCTTCTACCTGAATATATTACTAATTAGAATTTTTTTTTTTTTTTTGAGATGGAGTCTTGCTCTGTTGCCCAGGCTGGAGTGCAATGGCGTGATCTCAACTCACTGCAACCTCTCAATCTTGGGCTCAAGCACTTCTCCCACCTCAGCCTCCCAGGTAGCTGGGATTACAGGCACCCACCATCATGCTAGGCTACTATTTGTATTTTTATAGAGACGGGGTTTCACCATGTTGGCCTGGCTGGTCTTAAACTCCTGACCTCAGGTGATCTGCCGGCCTCAGCCTTTCAAAATGCTGGGGTTACAGGCATGAGCCACCTTGCCCAGCCAGGAAGAATCAATTTTTTAATAAAAAATTTATAGCTGTGCTACAAATTCAATTTAACTAGACAAGACAAATCCAGTAATAAGAATAATTTCTATGTTTTTCACGCAGAAGCGATGCCTATAACATCCTTCTAGGAAACCAATCTGGTGCTTGCTCTATGGACTATGCAATCTCAGGCTTGGAGGTAAGAAAGAATGTCCTTTCTTGGCAGAGCAGGGACACCGAGACATTGGATATCTTTTATTAAAAAGGATACATTTGCATTATAAATACTGCAGATGAAATCAGGTAGAGGTGAACGGACTGGTTTGGTCTGCTCTAAACTGAGCTGTTAAACATGTAAAAGTAAATTTAAACCACAAGGGCTTTATAAATCTATAGATAGACGTAAACTTGTGAGACTTAGTTTATTGTTTCATCAAAAAAATACTAGGAGGTCATTAAATATTAATCAACACTTCTTAGATCTGTGCAAATAAAATGGATCAAATTAAAATGTAAAATCAATAGTACTGATTAGGAACATTGTTCAGCAAATGGAGGTAGACAAACATGTCCTGTAGAGAAGGAAACATGACCGCAAGATGAAGTGTAAAAACCAAAGTGACATCGGGGCCTGACACCATTGTCAGCCCATTCATCATGTCCCACTGCTGAAGAAACAGAGAAAAAAAAACTCTGCACTCTGACATAAAGAAACAATAAAAGGGTCTCTCTGTCTACCTGCAGTCCTCCAAATGAATAAAACCTTGAGCATTTCCTGAGATTTGCTAACTCCTTAATGAAAATCACTTTATCCTTGACTTTACAATGCTGTTTATTGTCTGAAGATATGTCATGAACTTTCTGAATATAATAACCATGATAAAATTGCTGTTTTCTGCCATGAAGAGATTAATATAAACCCTATAGTCTTCATAATATTGTTTGTCTTAAAAAGTTCTATTTTTTTAATTTTTTGGGCAGTTCTTTTGAAGAATGACTTCCTCACATTTCTTTGCAAGTAAATGCCTCCTTCTGCTTATTTTTCCAACATGCTTTTGTTTCTGAGCCTTTCTTTCATGCTCTATACACACAAATCAGCAGGAGATAGTACCTGCAGCTGTATTTGGAGTTTACTGCCTCAATGTTCACTTTCAATGAAAGAGCGTATTTCTTAACAGAAGACCAGAAATTCATGCTGAACCAATAAATTGTCCTCTATAGTTCTCATCTGCAAGGAGGATTTAAATATTTCTAGCTCAGTAGTTCAGCCCTGAAGATTATTTCACCCCCACTGCTAATCCCGACCTAATCTGTTTTTGTGTTGTTAATGCTCCTATATACTAGCCAGGTCAGTAATTCTGTAACAGGCTTAATTTCTTAATATTTTAGGCCATGTGTTAATTTTACTATTTCTTAGCCATTTTTTCCTCAATAGTTTTAAATTGCATCCCTGCTTACTCTCCCTTTTACTGGACGGGCTTCCTCTGTTTACTAATACAATTCCCCAAATTGATTCATCCACTTGTTGAAATACCTAATTTTAGGCCCTGCACTGACAGCTTGCCTAGGCTTATACTTGTGTTTGGTGTTGCAGTCTTCAGATTCTAAAAACACCATCTAGACCTTACATTACCTCCAGCCAGGGCTATTCCCCCAGGGCCTGCCTTAAGAAGCAGATTTCTTTTCAAGTTTCATCTTCTTCCCATTTATTTCATTTCATGACAGTTAGAGAAGCTGTATACTAACGTGACAAATGGTAAGTTAGCAGAGAAAAACGTTATTTCAGGATAAGTTCAGGGAAAGCTTTTTGGAGGAAAGTCAGCTCACATTAGTCCTGATGATGGATAGTGTATAGAGACTACAGATGATGGAACGATGAAGTGGAAACTCGAGTGGCTACATACGGACATTCCACATAGAAGCAGTGTGAGCAAAACCACCAAGACAGGAAATGAGATGGAATTGATAAGGCAATGCAAATAATTCAGGTTATTTAGATCATCAGTGTTGGGGGAAGCTGGGTTTATGGGAATCAATGGTTAATCAGAATGTGAGCACCATTGGTTTGGTAATTCATGGAAGAGGTTATCATTCAACAGGGGGAGTGGCTTCTCGATTATAAACATGTCTGAAGGTCACTGAACATCAAGGCTATCCTTCAGTTAAAATCTTATTAAAATTATACTGACCTCTGATGACCTTCAGAGAGCTCCAGCTAGATGGATTGATGATAAGAGAAATTCGAGAAGGCAATGGGGCAAATCTTTGTGCAAATCTCTGTTATGTCATATATCTAAGGCTTCTGCTGGATCCAGTGATTTGTTTGTTCTGACTGTAGTACAAATCTATTGGAACAATAAATCTAGTTATAATAAATGACAGAGGGCATTGAAGCAGATGCAAGAAGCAAAATATACAGGTGTAAAGACAAACTATATTAGGCCTCCCATCAAGCTTCTCTAATATTTTCACAGCACAGCCCTGCCTGACTTCTCTCTATCTGGATAGGCCCCTTCTGTTTGATAACCAGTTCTCTGATGTTGACTACCTGATTCTCTAGTCCTCAAGTTGACTCATCCTGTTTATTGAGAGTGACATTTTTAGACTACTAATAATATTTATATGTAAGAAAGAAACTGGGTTTTTATATAAATATATAATCTTTTCAAATAAAAGATTATAATCAAGGAACTGTAAATAATAGAAAAATTACATAATGTTTCCCTATTTGGGGATTGGTTAAATGCAATATTATAGAAGTCTGAAAAAATAATGACTGTATTACAAAAGAATATAAAAATAATTGAAGACTAGGAATTATGTCTACCAACTAATTCAGTCATTTGGCTGTTTATTCTCATTTGAACAGTAGTGGATTAAGAAAAAAACAAAAAGACTTTCGACTTCCATCACAGGGAGAAAAGGATCAAGTACACATTAGAGAAAGCTGATGGCAATGATTTCTAGTTTCAGTTTCTATTTTCTGTCAATTAACCATCATTTTGGTAAACAGCCTTTTTAAATGTCTTTTCTTTTAATTTTTAAATTTTTACTTTAAAGACAGGGTCTCACTATGTTGCGAAGGCATTGGCCTCAAACTCATGGACTCAAGTGATCCTCCTGCCATAGCCTCCCTAGGTGCATATCACCATACCCAGCTATTAATGTCTTTATAAAAGCATTTTTAACCCTACTGGTCTAGCTATTGCATCAAATAAATAGCTAATTCCATTGAGGAAGGATTAGGGACTCACGAGTGAAAATAAATGTTTTATTTGGATAATGGCTACAAAATCTCAACAGTCAAAATAAATAAGAGATTAAAGGCATGATGATGACTTAAAAGATAAAGTTAGGTAGAAATGTGAACTAAGGGAAATGACTCAACACATTCAGCAACACAAAACTGTGGCCTAAATTCACTCTGACAGTTGTTATGCTATCTCCTGCTGCCCGAGTAAAGTAAGTTATGAACAAGACACATGAAGGGGATCAGGCAGACATATGGTCAAATGCTTTCTGTGCAATATTTCTGTCTCCATATTATCTTCTCTCTCATTGCACTTTGGACATTTTTATTCTTCCTGCAGATCTATTTTTATGAAGCAATGTGATTTAAATTAAAAGAGCACTGAATTCTCAGCCAGATATTTGAGTTCTAGTTGAAGATTTATCACCTAGTGGTTATGAGATTTGGGGCAAATTACTTAATCTCTCTCTTTCTTTACCACTTCATTTGTAAGTTTTCTTGCCTCCCTACAGGACTGTATTGGGGATCAATCAATGTTGAGTTGAAGGCTACATGGTTTAAGTTGGCTTAATGGAGAAGTGGTAAATCACTTAAACGGGTAGAACAACACAGTGTAGAGGATGTTGGGCTGCATGAGGAAGTGTGGAAAAAAAGCATGCCATGAAAATATCATCACAATCTCACATTTCTTCATTTATTTGCACACTCTGAACACATGCATGTGATAAGGACTGTGCAAGGTTCTCAGGATACCCAGGTAAAAATCACCACTTCTGCCAGTCTTGACTTTGCAAGCTTGAGGAGCAGGCCTGGAGAAATTTGGCTATTACCACACCAAAGTTGTTCCTCACATTCCCTTTGACATATGGTCTCAGGAAAAAATGAAAAGAGTAAAAAAAAAAAAAAAGTCCTTCATTTTTGAAAGGAAAAGTCATAATTAATTTCTAGAAGGAGAAAGAAAAAAAGAGATAACAGTGTGTGAAAAGGCTTAGAAAATGCTAGAGCACTACAGAAAGATAATGTGAGATTATGTCTAAGAGTAGCTTGGTTATTTTGCTTTTGTTGACAAAGTATACCTCCTTCATTTTCATAGTTGTCATAATTCTTTCCATGATTTTCTTAGTGGGTTTGTTTAGGAGAAACTGTATTCTTTCTTTATTCATCTAACTCTCCTTAACTCCAAAAAGATGCTTCTTAGGATAACATTTTAAAAGGATATACATTATGCACATTTTTAATGCTTCTATACAGGACTGAAGGCCAATATTACCATGATAATAAGGCATGTAACAAAAATTTGTTCTGCAGAGAGTGAGAAAGCGTGAGGGAAAACACAGTGCAGGATTCTATGCTGTTGCCCAAGAACCCAGACAGGCAAGTGAAATAATAGAGCAGACATTTCCTGAGGCTGTGGTCGATATGATTAGGAGATAGTGGGTAAAAATGGCCTTTAAACTATATACACATGAGAAGATAGATGTGAAAGCCCATTGCAAAGGCAATAAAATTATGCAAATATAAAATATCACTATTAAAATGTATGATGAATTGACATGCCATGAAAACAGTTCCAGTGCTGGGCCAGAAATCAGGAAACATGGGCTTTTGATTTCTCACCATTAAAATGAAGAAGTTGGATTTATACCCAAGGGTACCTTGTGGGCTGTATGGCTTCTAAGTAACTGGTCATAACAAAAGGGACACAATCAGGTCAGTTTCAAACCAAGAATAAAATGGGAAATTAAAGAACTGAATTGGCTACTTTCTGCTCAAATGATTGTTAAAAATAAAGTTTAAAAAAAGCCCCAAGGACTATGCAGTGCAGTGAGCAGAGGCTCCCGATATTAAAAAGAAAACAAGGAAAATGGATTCCTGGTGATAGAAGTGGTGTGGGGGAAGACAAATAGTGTGGCTGCAAATGGAACAATATGCAAAAGAAAAGTAGCTAAATATAGCTCTTTTTTGGGAAAGAGATTGTGTCTAAGTCCATCAGTGGAAAGGCAACTTAATTGTTGTATAAGTCTGTTCAGGTTGCCATAACAAGATACCATACACCAAGTGGCTTAAACTATAGAAATGTATTTCTCACACTTCTGGAAGTTGGGAAGTCCAAGATAAAGGTGGTAGCAAAGCGGATTTCTTTCTAAGGTCTCTTCCTATGGCCTGTAAGTGGCTGTAGATTCACTGTGTGCCCATGTGACCATTTCTTCGTGCACCAGGGGGAAGGCGGACAAGCAAGCTTTCTAGTGTCTCTCTTCTTGTAATGGCATTAATCTCAGCATGAGGACACCACTCTCATAACCTCTTTTAATCCTGATTACCTCTCAAAGGCCCCAGCTGCATAAATCATCACAGTAGGTGTTAGGGCTTCAACATTTAAGTGCGGGAGTTGGTGTTCACATTTCAGTCAATTGAGGTGACAATTGAAATGTGAAAGGAAAACCATAGTTACTAGAGAGAACGGTTGTCTTGGGGAGGATCACTGGACAGGACTACGGTCCTGTCCAGGTTGTTATGGCAACCTGAACAGACTTATACAACAATCCAGTCCTAGAGGCAATACAACTTCTCTGCTGATTCCAGATTCTGAGCGCCTCTCAGTCCTTGGTTGGGTTGTTTTGATCCTGTCCATATTATATTTATAAATATTCTCTTCATAAAACTCTCTTTAGGCCGGGCGCGGTGGCTCACGCCTGTAATCCCAGCACTTTGGGAGGTCAAGAGATCGAGACCATCCTGGCCAACGTGATGAAACCCGCTCTCTACTAAAAATACAAAAAATTAGCCGGGTGTGGTAGCGGGCGCCTGTAGTCCCAGCTACTCGGGAGGCTGAGGCAGGAGAATGGCGTGAACCCGGGAGGCGGAGCTTGCAGTGAGCCGAGATGGCACCACTGCACTCCAGCCTGGGCAGCAGAGCGAGACTCCATCTCAAAAAAAAAAAAACAAAAAAAAAACCACAACTCTCTTTAAATCACACATCCGAGTGTGTCCCTTGTTTCCCACCAGAGCCAAGACTGAATTGAGATGATTTCTTAAGGTCAGGTTGATGTCCTAATCCAGTTGTGCTGCTATAACAAAATACCACAGAGTGAGTAACTTATAAACAACAAAAATTTATTGCTCACAGTTATGGAGGATGGTCAGTCCAAGATCAAGTTGCCAGCAGGTTCAGTGTCTAGTGAAGGCCCATTCCTCTGTCATCCAGGCTGAAGTGCAGTGTTGCAAGCTTGGGTCACTGCAACCTTCACCTCCCAGGCTCAAGTAATCCTCCCACCTCAGCCTCCTGAGTAGCTGGGACCACAGGTGCTCACCACCATGCCTGGCTAATTTTTTTTTTTTTTTTTTTTTTTTTTGTAGAGATGGGGTTTCACCATGTTTCCCAGGCTGGTCTCAAACTCCTGGACTCAGGCAATCTGCCAGCCTCCTGAGGGAGTGCTGGGATTACAGGCATGAGCCACTGTGCCCACCCCCTTTTTCCAGTATTACCTGGACAATGTGTCTCCCTGTCAGTATCCAGGGAATGGCACCTGGATCAAGCATTTAGTGTTCAGTTGCTACACTCTCACCTAATCCCTCATTTTCAATATTTTGCCATGTTTTCCAGTGACCCAACTGGCCACCATGTCACAGACTTTATGGTCTCCAAGGGAGACCCCTCCATTTCATGTTTTGTGATTTGAGCAACAGACTGGAATCTACTTGAAATTTGCAAATGGTCTTTGACTTGGGCTTTCCAATTTTGCTCTACTTCACAGTGTTTTCTGGGTTATATACAAGGGAGATGATCCAGTCATTTGTTAAGCGCCTCAAATAAGACATGCCCTAGATGTTTTTTTGCTTGTTTGTTTTGTCAAATTGGGATTATTTTTGTGTCTTTGGAGAATATAAAATACTAATATGAGGTAAGCACTAAGGTTCTGAGATGGCCGTGGAAGAGATGACAAACTCCATCACCATGCCTGAGAGTGTCCAATCGTCTCTGCGGGGGCCACATATTTTTGTATTACACTGTATTTGAAATAACAACAACAACAAAAAACCCTTCAAGATTCATAAAATTGGACAACTGTCTTTGTAACACTTCTAGTGGTAAAACCAGTAAGGATGGCTAGTTTGCAACCCATCTGAGCAGCCTCTCTGGTTTCATAGATATGTTTTCTCTCTGACATTGAATGGCTTTCAACTTGAAGCGGAATGCTACATCACAAAGATAAACAGGTTTGAAAGGAACCGGTTTTCCTTGTAATCCTAAACGTTCAAGTCTGCGCATTAAAAGACATTATCTGAAGAAGGGTGCAAAAGCTTCCTGTTGGCCGCCAGAAGGGTTCTCTGCAGGACACAGATCAAGTACCACAGTCTTAGGGGGAGACCAGACGCGGGGTCTCTGCGCACCTCCCCAAAGGACAATGGCAGGAGGAAAAGGAGAAAGAGACAGACGTCACTTCCTTCGCCAGCTCCGGCAGCGGGTTGATCGGCTGAGTCGGCGGAGGGTGGGGCGGAAGAGCAGACGGGGACTGGGAAAGGCGCTGTCAGTGACATCACGGATAGGGCGATTTCTATGTAGATGAGGCAGCGCAGGGGCTGCTGCTTCGCCACTAAGGAGTTCCCGTGCCGTGGGAGTGGGTTCAGGACCGCTGGTCGGACCTGAGAGTCCCAGCTGTGTGTCAGGGCTAGGAGGGCTGGGGGGGGCGGGGAGGTGCGCGGGGCAAGTGACCGTGCGTGTAAAGGGTGAAGCGTGTGAGGCTGTGGCGGGGCGGAGGTGCAAAAGCTTATACTTACCTGGCAGGGGAGATACTATTATCAAACGAAGGTGGTTTTTCTCAGGGCGAGGGTTATCCATTGTGTTCCGGATGTGCTGACCTCTGCGATTTCCCCAAACGTGGGAAACTCGACTGCATAATTTGTGGTAGTGGGGGACTGCGTTCGCGCTTTCCTCTGGTGCTTTTGTGGTGCGAATAGTAGGTGAGCCGTAAGTGTTTTTGTAATTCAGGGTGCGGGCTCGTGTTTTGTGGCTGTGTTCTGTCCGGTCAGTTGTTTCCGTTCGCAACGGTTAGTTTTCGTTTGTGAGGCCATGTTTGGGGACAGCTTAGAACTATCCACTTACTCTCTTGGGAGGCGAATTTCAGTCTCTGTTGGTTGGGGTGTTCTCCCAGGTTAGCTGCCGCTGTACTTGCTAGGTGGAGCTCAGGGATCAAGGGTCGGGAGCTTTCTGGTTTGTTCAGTGCTCCCAGGGCTTCTAACATCTCTTAAAAACTCTGGTGTTTTCTGTCATCCTCGGAGTTACCTCTTAGCCTCTGTTTTTTTTGTTGTTTTTTTCCCCCCCTCCCTAAGACAAGTCTCGCTGTACCGTCCAGTCTGGAGAAGTGGCGCGATCTTCCCATCTCAGGCTCCCGAGTAGGACAACCACACGCCACCACACCCGGCTAGTTTTTTCTCTTTTTTTTTCTTTTCTTTTCTTTCTCTTTCCTTTCTTTTTCTTTTTTCGTAGCGGTTTCACCATTCTGCTCAGGCTGGGCTCCAACTCCTGGGCTCAAGTGGTCCGCCCAGCCTTCTGAAGTGCTGGGATTACAGGTGCGATCCATCTTGCCCTGGCAGCTCCTGCTTTTCACCACAGCATTCACGGGAGTTTGTAGGATTTCTGTGTTGGGGAAACGTGTACTCAGTTAATAGAGCCAGGTGGAAGTTGTACTCAGAACTGGTGGTTTTCTTTGGAATGAAAACCGTGCATGTTGGGGGCTCTTAGTGTCCCCGTTCGGTTGTAGACATAACACCCTTGCTTTGTGTAGGGGGAGGGCTTTGCCCATGCCCTGGTGCCCTGGCGCAGGGCATCGAGGCCTGCAGGTCAGAACCGCAGTCTAACCTATGTCTTGGCGGAATACCCTGCTAATTCTCCCTGGAATGTAAGATGGGAGGTCTTGTGAGGAGGTTTCTACAAGTAAGAAAACAAATTTCCATTCGGTTTTTATTGACAAAATTGAAAATTATAATAACTGAGTCCAGCCTCTCAGATGACAAATGTCTTTTGCACTGAGAGCTGGGAACCGCCGCTTGCCTCAGCTCCTGCATGCAGGTGCAGCCCTCGCTTCCCTCCACACTTTCTCCAGCGGGTGTCAGTTCCTCCACAAGAGGCAGACAGCGTTCTGCAGAACCACAGCGCTCAAGGCCTTCGAGAGCCAAAAATCTCGGAGCGAGCTGCCCTGTCCTGGCTGTACCTCACGACTGACCTAGAAATGGCCTTTGCTGGGAGCAAAGGGTAGGGGGGAGATGGTCGTCGGAGCTGGGGCCTGTGCACTGGACCAGGTTGACCACGGGAGGGGAGGTACCCAGAGTTAGAAGGGGGCCAAGCACTGAGACCTCACCATCCTCAATCTCCAAAAGGACTCAGAGAGATGCAGAGACTGAGACAGGCTTCCTTTTTCAAGGAAAGAGAAAACTACTGAGGAAGGCCCCAGGGGCTCTGAACCAAAATCCAGACTTTTTTTTCCACCTGCAGCTTTTTGTTTTTATTTTTGCTTGAGAAGGGGTCTCGGTCTGTTGCCCGGGCTGGAGGGCAGTGGCGCAATTTCGGCTCGTTAAAACCTCCATCTCCCGGGTTCAAGCAATTCTCCTGCCTCGGCCTCCCTAGTAGCTGGGACTACAGGTGCCCGCCATGACGCCCGGCTAATTTTTGTATTTTTATTAGAGACGAGGTTTCACCATGTTGGTCAGGCTGGTCTCAAACTCCTGATCTCAAGTGATCCACCCACCTCAGCCTCCCAGAGTGCTGGGATTACAGGTGTGAGCTACCGCGCCCAGCCCGCACCTGCAGCTTAATCCCATTTCGCTGGTGCAACTTCATCCTTCCGTATGCTCAGGCCAATAAACAGTACTGTAGGCTGGTCGTTCTTTGACCCCCATACATCCTATTGGTCGGAAAATTATGTTTTCTCTTTGGTTAACCGCAGACTTTGATATGCACACTCTTTCTTGGTCTGAAACCCACCCAATAGTCCCATACGTAGATTTTTGGATAAACATAGAAATGGACCCTTCTGATCTGAAAGTTTGAAACTCGATATTTGTTTTATTTGAGTTCCTTCCTTCAGGCCTCTCAAAAAAGATATCAAAGAACTGAAAGTCACCCAGACAATGAGATGCCGGACCCCTCATTCATCCTGATTGCTTCCTTGCCCCTCCCTAGTTCCTGTTTTCTTTCTTTTCTTTTTTCTTTTTTTTTCTTTTTGAGACAGAGTCTCCCTCTGCCTCCCAGGCTGGAGTGCAGTGGCGCTATCTTGGCTCACTGCAAGCTCCGCCTCCCGGGTTCACGCCATTCTCCTGCCTCAGCCTCCCGAGTAGCTGGGACTACAGGCGCCCGCCACCAAGCCCGGCTAATTTCTTTTCGTATTTCTAGTAGAGACGGGGTTTCACCGTGTTAGCCAGGATGGTCTCGATCTCCTGACCTCGTGATCCGCCCCCCTCGGCCTCCCAAAGTGCTGGGATTACAGGCGTGAGCCACCGCGCCTGGTCTAGTTCCTGTTTTCTTACACATTGTCACATTCTTTCCCTGCCATCTAAGCCTCTAGTTTTGGTTGGTCAGGGAGATGGATTTGAGACTGAGTTCTCATCTCCTCCGCTGCAGCACCCTATTAAAGCCTCTTCCTTGGCAATAACCATCTCAGTGATTGGTTTTCTGTGTGGCAAGCAGCTGGAACCCCAGGTCTCTGAACTTTGGCAAAGGAATCTCCTGATAAAGGCGAGATCGATTTTACTGACCAAGCTGAAAACGATCAGACGTTTGAAAGCCTTAATCTCGGAGCCTGTCGGAGTTTGGTCTGCCCTTGAGGCTTTTCTTTGGGCCTACCAGTCAAAATCAGCCTGGCCAAACCTGTCTTCAAGGACCAGGGGCAGGGCCGGCTTCTCCCGCCGGGTCGGCAGCCACCTTCCCCTTCCCTGTGACTTGAAGAGAAGCTTCAGGGGGCGTTTATTCAATTTGCGAGGAGCCCGCGAGGAGCAGGTGCGCGGTGACTCTGTGGATCCCACCGCACCCGCTGCCCTCTTTGGTCCTCTCGCTGTCACCGGCGGGCAGTAACGTTCCGGGTGAGCTAGGGCTCCGAAGACAGCAGGCAGGGAGGGACCAGTGGGTAAGGGCACCGCCCGTTTAGGTCCTGCGCAGGAGGGATCCGAAAAAGGTCTTGAAGAAATAGAAAGGGAGGGCCAGATGCGGTGGCTCACGCCTGTAATCCCAGCACTTTGGGAGGCCGAGGTGGGTGGATCACGAGGTCACGAGTTCGAGACCAGCCTGGCCAAGATGGTGAAGCCCTGTCTCTACTAAAAATACAACAAGTAGCCGGGCGCGGTGACGGGCGCCTGTAATCCCAGCTACTCAGGAGGCTGAAGCAGGAGAATCTCTAGAACCCAGGAGGCGGAGGTGCAGTGAGCTGAGACTGCCCCGCTGCACTCTAGCCTGGGCAACACAGCAAGACTCTGTCTCAAATAAATAAATAAATAAATAAATAAATAAATAAATAGAAAGGGAGAGTTGGAAGTAGATGAAAGAGAAGAAAAGAAATCCTAGATTTCCTATCTGAAGGCACCATGAAGATGAAGGCCACCTCTTCTGGGCCAGGTCCTCCCGTTGCAGGTGAACCGAGTTCTGGCCTCCATTGGAGACCAAAGGAGATGACTTTGGCCTGGCTCCTAGTGAGGAAGCCATGCCTAGTCCTGTTCTGTTTGGGCTTGATCCTGTATCACTTGATTGTCTCTCCTGGACTTTCCATGGATTCCAGGGATGCAACTGAGAAGTTTATTTTTAATGCACTTACTTGAAGTAAGAGTTATTTTAAAACATTTTAGCAAAGGAAATGAATTCTGACAGGTTTTGCACTGAAGACATTCACATGTGAGGAAAACAGGAAAACCACTATGCTAGAAAAAGCAAATGCTGTTGAGATTGTCTCACAAACACAAATTGCGTGCCAGCAGGTAGGTTTGAGCCTCAGGTTGGGCACATTTTACCTTAAGCGCACTGTTGGTGGAACTTAAGGTGACTGTAGGACTTATATATACATACATACATATAATATATATACATATTTATGTGTATACACACACACACACACACACACACACACAGGGTCTTGCTATCTTGCCCAGGGTGGTCTCCAACTCTGGGTCTCAAGCGATCCTCTGCCTCCCCTTCCCAAAGTGCTGGGATTACAGGTGTGAGCCACCTCACCCAGGCCATTTTAATTTTAATTTAATACTTTTAATTTGAATACACAATCCAAAAATCATATAACAAGTACAGGAAACCCACTTTATGCCAAGTTTACAAAAACAGGAAAGATATGTCAATGACAAAGCGTCAAAGTGGCAACATCCTAAAGTACTGAGAGAAAAAAAGTTATTCTAGAATTCTATGCCAAATTGAAATATCTTTCAAAAATGTGACTGAAATCAGGACATTTAAAGACATACAAAAAAATGACAGAATTCACCGAACCACACTACAAGAAATATTAAAGGAGTCCTCCAGGCCTAAGGATAAGGATACCAAACAGAAATCTGAACCTACACAAAGAAATGGAGACGACTGAAAATCGCTATGTACGTACTTGGATGTTGGGGTTTATAACATGTCCAAAATCAAATTCCCTGACAACACTAGCATAAAGGCCAGAAGGGGAGGTATAATGTCACTTGATGGCAGACAGATAAAGATGTATTCTAGGGACCCTAAAGCCATCACTGACATAACAAAAGAAAGAGTTACAGCTAATAAGCCAAATAAGGAAAGAAAATAGAATGATATATATTAAAAAAAAATGTAATCGCTGGGTGCGGTGGCTCATGCCTGTAATCCCAGCACTTTGAGAGGCCAAGGCAGGCAGATCACTTGAGGTCAGGAGTTTGAGACCTGCCTGGCCAAAACGGTGAAACCCCGTCTCTACTAAAAATACAAAAATTAGCCCGATGTGGTGGCTCGCGCGGACCTGTAATCTCAGCTACTTGGGAGGCTGAAGCAGGAGATTCGCTTGAACCCGGGAGGCGGAGGTTGCAGTGAGAGCTGAGATGGCGCCACTGCACTCCAGCCTGGGTGACAGAGCGAGACTCTGTCTCAAAAATAAATAAATAAATAAACAAACAAAAACTGTGTAATCCCTATGCTGGAGCAACTGCTCTCCAGGCCTCTACCCTATAGAAATACACAAATGGCCAATGAGAAGTGTACAAGAATGATCACTGCCGCATTATTTGCAATCATAAAATAGTAGCGCCAAAGTAATTTCAAAGATACATGAAAATCGTTTTATTTATTTAACAAACACAAACAATTGAACAAACAATGGAAGCAAGTCCTTTTGCCTAAAGGAACACAGAGGGTCATGCGGATGTTGCTCCTCCAAGGATTTCGGTGTTCCCCAACGGCTAGTTTTGGGTCTAGTTCTTCTGGAAGATCTTATTCTTGGGGAGCTACAGGTTCTGGCGTTTGGGGCTCTTTCAGGTTCTATCTCCATTTTCCCCTCAATTCCTCCCCATTCTGCTATAATAAAAAAAAATTCTCACCTCCGGAAGATCCCGCCTGTGCCTCCCCGCCAGCCTTTCAGGAGGTCTGGACGTCTGGTCCACCGCTCCCCGGCTTCTTTCACCGCTTTTGCTTTTCCCTTCCCCTGCTCCCGCCCTCCGGCCTCAGGACCCGACCACCGCCCAGCTGAGCCCCCGCGGCTCCACGGCGCAGAAGGTGCACTGGAGGCCCTGCCCGTTGCCGCCCCGCGGGGTGCCAAGAAGTCAACGTAAATAAATGCTTTGTAAAAGGAACTTCCCCATGGAAAAATCTCTCATGATTTCCATTCTCAAGGCTCTTCAAAGGACTAAAAGCTAAAAGGATGGATTCATTCGACAAGTCCTAGTCCTGCGCCCTGGTGAGTGCCAGACCCTGCTCCCCACGAGGGGGACCCACGAGCCACCCTCACCACGATCCCTGCTCTGGTGGAGCCCCCGTGCGGAACACAGGATCCGAAGATGGCAGCGGAAGCTCCGCAGCGGCCCCAAAAGCGACTGGGCAGGGAGGGCACAGGCTCCCTCACTGGGTGAAGTCGGCGCAAAGAACGGGAAGAGCCATCCCGGGAGCCACCGGGCGTTCAGCCTCCCTAGGGCCCCCAGGCGGCTCGGGCCGGGGTCTCAACCGGGGCGTTTCCGGGGGTTTCTGAAGCAGGCGAGGGGCAGGGCGGGCCAAGGCCATTCGGCTATCCTTCTGGCTCCAGAATCTCCCAATGCGCAGGTGTCCAACGTGACCAGCGCGACTTACCACTCCAATCTCTCCGGTCTTCCAAGGCCTTGCTCAGTCGTCCTGCCGGGCGGGCCCTGAGGATGCAAGGGACGGAGGAAGTTTCGTGCGTGCGCCCTTCCTATAGCGCCCAGTAGAACTGACTGACAGTACCTGTCTCTGTGGCGTAGTCGGTTAGCGCGTTCGGCTGTTAACCGAAAGGTTGGTGGTTCGAGCCCACCCAGGAACGGTTGTTCGAGCTTTTAAAGTATTCATGCATTGTCAATCACTAGATAAATGGGGAAAATTTTATCTTCCTGGAGTCCTAAGCCACTAATTTGTGACTTATCCATGTCAAGGGCCAGCCTACCTCCCCGACCGGATTCTTAACCGGGTATCTCCTGAAATCCTGGGTTTATACGTGTGTAACTCAGGAATCCTGAAACAGAGACCTAGGAACCCACTTCTGGTGTGATAAAATTCTAATTCAGTCCGTTATACGCTTAAACGAGTAATTTAC
The DNA here is from genome assembly GCF_000001405.40 of Homo sapiens. NCBI lineage: Eukaryota > Metazoa > Chordata > Mammalia > Primates > Hominidae > Homo > Homo sapiens. The sequence goes on along the minus strand of NW_025791753.1, from coordinate 454,484 downwards.
ATGCCTCCATTTTTTCATATTTTAATAATAGGAGGTCAGTAATATCCCGAGGATGTGCCTGGATTTACTGATTGCTCTATCAATAATGTGACCAGTGGAATCATTCATCATCATAGTGATCCTCTCCATCATTTTTGAAAAGAGTATTTTTCCTCAGTTTGTGCATGATTTATTTAACCCTTTTCAAAATGTTTTTGTTAGCCAGGCATGGTGGCATGTGCCTGTAATCTCAGGTACTTGGGATTCTGAGGCAGGAGAATCATTTGAACCTGGGAGGTGGAGGCTGCAGTGGAGGCTGCACCAGTGGAGGCTGCACCGCTACACTCCCGCCTGGGCAACAGAGCGAGACTCCATCTCAAAAAAAATAAAAATAAAAAAATAAAGTTTTTGAGATGAGGTAGGTTTCATTGTTTTAGGATTACAAAGAATGCTGCAGCCACCTTTCTTGTACACATATCTTTGGTCATTGTGGAAATGTCTACACCGCAGATATTTCTATAGTGTAGGGAAGTTGATGCACTATTGCTACATTATAGGGTTTACATGATGCTTCTAATTTGAGTACATTCCGCAAATGTATCTTTCACGGGAGCCGTACCAAATAATATTCCAATAGCAATATTTATAGGAGGAAAAATGTGCAGAAGTGCAACTGAGCTTCGTGCCTCTCCATGGGGCCCATGTTCATAAAATGGTGGCATTAGCAATCATCTGAGAGTGGAGTTTGTGGCCCTCTGACATCAAAAGCTGAAGCAGAGGACATGAAAACCCTCACTGTGCATCCTCTCTAGTCTGGCCAGAATCATTCCTAGGTCGGTGGTCTCTTATCAGGAGGGAATGCTGCTTGCTTGTTTTGTCAAAATCACAAAACTGAGGAAAAGCATCAGGCCGTTGGTTGATAACAGTGGTGAAGCAAGTCTTTCCATAGGGCTGGTTTGTTGTTAACCCTTAGGGAAAAAAAAAAGCCGTTTTTTTTTTTTTGAGACGGAGTCTCTCTCTGTCGCCCAGGCTGGAGTGCAGTGGCGCGATCTCGGCTCACTGCAAGCTCCGCCTCCCGGGTTCAGGCCATTCTCCTGCCTCAGCCTCCCGAGTAGCTGGGACTACAGGCGCCCGCCAACACGCTCGGCTAATTTTTTTTACTTTTAGTAGAGATGGGGTTTTACCGTGTTAGCCAGGATGGTCTCGATTTCCTGACCTCGTGATCCGCCCGCCTTGGCCTCGCAAAGTGCTGGGATTACAGGCATAAGCCACCGCGCCCGGCCAAAAAAGCCTAATTCTTACCAGCTGGTGCCGTGCAGTTCCAGGCTCTTGGTGTCCCAAACAAAGACACCAAGAGCCTGGAACTGCACCAAAAACCAAAACCAAGGTAGGGGCAAGATGATAATCACAGAATGTCACCGGTATATGTTTAGGTTCAAATACTATTATGAGAAGTGGCAGGTAAAGGAGGTAGGAAAAAGAAAACACATCATGTAATTGACTGTTGTATGGAAATATTTGATGCTGAAAGTTATAATTTAAAACTATAAACCAAATATTAGAAGTGTGTCTATTTCAAAGGGAGGAAAACCATCAAAAACATTTTTAGTGCAATATTTAACATGAGCTATACAACCCTTCCTAAATGCCAAAGGCACACACAGACACACACACAGACACACACACACACACTCACACTCACGAAGAATACAAATGACTAGAACCAAGCAATGTAAATACATTCTGCTACGTATGGTAAACATAGCCTACAATGTGGAAGAGATTAGAAAATAAACATGGAAATGAAATGTTTTTATTAATTCGCATCAGTACCCACCAAAACCAATCAGCATAATCAAATATTATAACACTGAATGTAAAAAACAATCCAAAAGTCCAGAGTGATAGCAAAAGGTTTTAATTGTATAGATTAAAATTAACTTTGGACAAAAATTAAAACTCAGGCAGAGAATGTTTTCTTCTTTTTGCAACAGCAGACACTAGTAAAAACAAAGGCACAGTAAAAATTGAGACCCAAAATTTGCAGTGTAGAGATATGAATATAATAATAGACACAGGCAGGGAGGATTAATAAATGATAAAATGTTTAGAGGATGATCATTAGAATACAGGATATTTATACTCTTGAAAACTGCTTTCCCAAGTACTTCATTATAAGTAAGGTGTCTCTAAAAGGGACAGATCTCCTAGACCCCTCCTTAACCAAGTAACCAGTCCTGATATCATAATGGTGATGGACAAACTAGACCTTCTCTGCCCGCAGATGGGCTGAGGTTGGAAACTCACAGCATTGTCTCTGCAGTGTTCCCGGCAAAACGTTTAGGCTGAATTTAATCATGAAGACATTTTCAGACAACTTCAGAATGTAGATCATTGAGCCAGACAGCTGACCTGTCCTCTATAAACAAGTCCATGTCACCACCATCCATGACAACAACAAAAAGATGAGGAAATATTTGGGGTTCAAAATAACTAAAGAAATGCAGCTACATTATCTTTTTACTTTTTTTCAACCGAAAATATCTCTTCTCCTTTTTGTTGTGTGATTTGTGGTGATATGGACTATGTGAAGGAGACAGGTCAGTTGTCCTGCTCAGTGTTCTACATTCTGCAGTTGTCTGGTGATTACCTCCTATGAAACTCAGGTTAAGCGTTTTCTGCAAGAACATGGCATTGCTCATATTCTGCACCGGCAGAGTCCTGGGTGACATGCTGTCTCCTGCCAGCGGCTCCTGACTCCTGTTCTCTACAGGATGGAATTGAGAGGAGCAGGGCTAAGGCCTCCCAATGCTGTTTGTCCATCTAGCTGTGGTCTTCCTAAGTACTGACACCAATTGGAGGCTGAAGGACTGTGGCTTCTCTAACCAAAGGAGCCTAGCGGGTTAACAATTGTCAAGAGCAGTTGGTGGTTCTGAAATACAATCCTCAGCCAAGGATCCCTCCTGTGTTACAGATGGATCAGCTAAAACAAGCCAACACTGAAGACACAAAGAATGAGGTTAGGTTCATTGAAACCAGGGTAACACCTTTGGATGAGCTAAACACAAAGATGACAATGACCTTGAGCAGGTATAGAAGCTCAGAGACATGCCTGCAAAATGACATCCCTGAGGAATTTTGTAGCTACCCAGAGATACGTGGTTCAAATTAAAATGTCTGACTGATCACTCCCGGCATGTGCTGCACAGTTATGTGAACGTGTCACACCTAACGTGGGTCCATTGTCTTCAGACTGAGCACAGGTTGCCACTGGCATGGTTTGAGAATAGGAATAGAGCCATGCCCACTGAACCATCCTATGTCTGGGCTTCCAAATGGAACTGTACTTTCATTCAAATCTTCACGTGCCTATAGGTCCTGCCTGCAGGAATGACACCTCTCGGCTTAGTAAGGGCTGCTTATTGTGGGAATATGACTCCCATCTGGAACACCAGGTGGAGACTTGTCACCGTCAAAGTAAAAAACCTATTGTCCACGTAAAGGGCGAAGCTGATATGCTCTTCCTCAAATGAGTAAAACACACTTCTGTAGTGCTGGAATGAGTCAGGTAGTTCAAAGTACATTGACGGAGTCGAATAACATATATCCAGTGAGTCCTGCAAGACTTCAGGCTCTTCCACTTCCATCAGCATGCTGTTGAGCCTGCAAAAGGAGACAAAACTAAAGAAGCAGCCAGGGAAAATCGGACACCACAGAGCCCCACTAGATTTCAGAAGTAACATAAGGAAGTGGTTAGAAAAGAAAAAGGATAGATCCATTAATGAGGTAAAAAAAAAATTTATTGCCTTTATGTTGGGATAGAACAGGGCCAGGTAGAAAACAATGAAAGAGAAAGACAGAGAGAGAGACAGAGACAGAGACAGAGAGAAAGTGACCTAGTGAATTGGCCAGGTGACATACTGGTAAGGGAGTCAAAGGACACTCTGAGTTAGTGCCCTCATGACACACAGCAAACTGTGATCATGAAAAGAGTGAGCTCAATAGTTTTCCATAAAATATGCTCAAAATTCGATGCAGTGGCCATGAGAGTACAACTTTTGAAGTATGGTCAACCTGTGGTACGTTAGTAAATGATAAGGGGAGGAAGAAATGGAAACCTAAACATCTACTGCAATGAAAACCAACAGCAATGACAGTAGGAGTAATTCAGCCTTCGTTGAAAACATGACATCAAACACACTCTGGTTTCCCTGAATCTGTTGCCTCCAGGTGTTAACACAGAATTAAGCATCCACAATTGCTGAAAGTCACCTGGGGCATGGTGGGTTTTGATCTTCTTCCCCTTCTTTTCTTCCCCTTCTTCTTTCCTTCTTTGATCTTCTTCCCCTTCTTTTCTTCCCCTTCCCCTTCTTTTCAATTTCTGCAATAAATTCAGACATGGACAGACACATTAAGCTGATTCCCCTACACACATAACAATCCACTGTCTAATCCTCACACAGGGACCTCAGGCTCCTCAGCATAAGAATAGGACACTGTGAGAGATATATTTCAGGAGGCCTGAAGGCTGGTCATGATAGAAATTCCTCGGTTTTTCTCCCAGAAACTGTGGGTAAAATGTCCCTATTCTAGTAGATCGTTATCCCAATATCATTTGTCCCAAATTTGTGCAAACAGTTATGCCATATTTTTACAATCAACTTAAAGCAAATACCCTCAAATGATTTCTAGGAGAAAAACTGCAATATTTAGCCCTGTCTCATCAAATAGTCAGATTGTTCATGGTTGTGAGGACTTTAGACACTGAAATTAGAGTGAAAAAGGAAATCTACAAACCCTTGAGTCAAAATCATAGTTCTCTGAATTTGTCACATCTGCCCAGGTCCAATGTCATGAGAATAGGATCAGGGCGCCACAGGTATGGCCTGAGACTAGGAAGAGAGTCTTGCTCACTGACCCATCCCTTGTCTGGGCTTCCAGGTAGAACTAGAGTTTCATTCAACCTACATGTGCGTATAGGTCCTCCCTGTGGCAATGACATCTCTCAGCTCAGTAATGGCCACTTGGAGCAGGAATATGATCTTTATATGGAAGACTCAGTGGATCCTTATCACCTTCATAGAAAGGTACTCACCTCCCACGTCAAGAGAAAAGCCAACATGTTTTTCCTCCAATGCATAAAAGGAACTTCCATAGGGCTGGCAGGAGTCAGGCTGTTCAAGACAACTGGAAGGAGTTGAATAACATCTATCCAGTGAGTCCTGCAAGACTTCAGGCTCTACTACCTCCAGCAGCTCCCTGCTGAGCCTGGAAAAGGAGGAAAAAGTAAAGAATAAGCCAGGGGAAATCAGACACAACAGAGCCCCAACTAGGTTTCATGGGTAGCATAGGGAAGTGGTTAAAAAACTAAAAGGATAGATCCATTAATGAGGTAACAAATTATTGCCTTCATGTTGGGACAGAACAGGGCCAAATGGAAAAGAATGAAAGAGAAAGACAGATAGACACACACACACACACACACACACACACACACACACACAGAGAGAGAGAGAGAGAGAACGAGCTCAGTGAATTGTCCAGGTGACACACTGATGAGGGAGTAACAGGACACTCTGAGTTAGTGCCCTCAGGACACACAGCATACAGGGATCATGAAAAGACTGTGCTCAATAATTTTCCATAAAATGTGCTCAAGTTTCCATGCAGTCGCCATGAGAATACAGTTTTTGAAGTCTGGTCCACCTACAGTAGGTTAGTAAATGAGAAGGGGAGGAAGAAATGGAAACCTAAATATCTACTGCAATGAAAACCAACAGCAATGTTAGTAGGAATAATTCAGGCTTGGTTGAAAAGATGTAATCGATAATGTCAGCCCGCTCTGTTTTCCCTGAACCAGGAGTCTCCAGATGTCAACACAGAAGTAGCTGTTCACAATTGCTCAGTTACCTGGGGCATGGTGGGCCTTGGTCTTCTTCCTCTTCTTGGTCCTTTTTAATTCCTGCAATACATTCAGACAGGGACAGACAAAATAAGCCAATTCACCTACACCCATAACAGTCCACTGTCTAATCCCCACACAGGGATCTCAGGCTCCTCAGCATGAGAACAGGACAATGTGAGAGATGTACTTCAGGAGGCCTGAAAGCTGGTCATGATATTCTTTGGTTTGCATCTCAGAACCAAGGGTGAAATATCCCCATTCTGGTAGATCGTTATCCCAAAATCATTTATCCCAAGTTTGTGCAAACAGTTATGCCTTATTGTTCCCATCAGTTCAAAGAAAATGCCCCAGATGATTTCTAGGAGGAAAACTGCAGTATTCAGCCCTGTCTCATCAAATGCCCAGCTCGTTCATGGATGCAAGAATTTTAGACACTGAAATTAGAATGAAGGAGGAAATCTACAAACCCTTGAGTCCAAATCATACTTCTGTGAATTTTTTACATCTGCCTGGGTCCAATGTGCTGAGAGCGGGCTCAGGTTGCCACAGGCATGGCTGGAGACTAGGAATGGAGCCTTGCTCACTGACCCATTTCATGTCTAGGCTTCCAACTGAGACTACAGTTTCATTACAACCTATATGCGCCCATAGGTCCTGCCTGCGGCAATGACATCTCTCGGGTCAGTAAGGGCCACTTGGAACAGGAATATCACCCCTATCTGGAAGACCAGGTGGAGGCTTATCACCTTCATAGTAAGGTACTCACTGTCCACGTCAAGAGCCAAGCCAAGGTACTGTTCCTCCAATGAGTAAACAGCACTGCTGTAGGGCTGGCCTAAGTCAGGCAGTTCAAGATAACCTGAAGGAGTCGAATAACATCTACCCAGTGAGTCCTGCAAGACTTCAGGCTCTTTCTCATCCAGCAGCTCCCTGCTGAGCCTGGAAAAGTAGGAAAAAGTAAAGAATAAGCCAGGGGGAATCAGAAACCACACAGCTCCAGCTAGATTTCATGGCTAACATAAGGAACTGTTTAAAAAGAAAAAGGACAGATCCATTAATGAGGTAATGAATTATTGCCTTTAGGTTGGGATAGACCAGGGCCAGGTAGAAAAGAATGAAAGAGAAAGACAGGGAGAGGCAGAGAGAGAGAGAGAGAGGAGAAAGTGAGCTCAGCGAGTTGGCCGGGTGACACACTGATGAAGGGGTCAAAGGACACTCTGAGTTAGTGCCCTCGGGACACACAGCGAACAGTGATCATGAAAAGAGTGGGCTCAATAATTTTCCATAAACTTGCTCAAGATTCCATGCAGTTGCCATACAGCCTTTGAGGTATGGTCAACCTATAGTAAGTTAGTAAATGATAAGGGGAGGAAGAAATGGAAACCTAAACATCTACCGCAATGAAAACCAACAGCAATGTCAGTAGGAGTAATTCAACCTTCGTTGAAAACATGAAATTGAACACACTCTTGTTTTCCCTGGACCTGGCATCTCCAGGTGTCAACACAGAATTAAGCATCCATAATTGCTCAAAGTTACCTGGGGCATGATGGGTCTTGGTCTTCTTCCACTTCTTGGTACTTTTCAATTTCTGCAATAAGTTCAGACATGGACAGACATATTAAGCTGGTTCTCCTACACACATAACAATCCACTGTCTAATCCTCACACAGGGACTTCAGGCTCCTCAGCATGAGAATAGGACACTGTGAGAGATATTCTTCAGGAGGCCTGAAGGCTGATCACCATAGAGATTCCTTGGTTTTTGTCCCAGAAACTGTGGGTAAAATTCCCTATTCTGGTAGATCGTTATCCCAATATCATTTGTCCCAAGTTTGTGCAAATGGTTATGCCATATTTTTCCAATCGATTTAAAGCAAATGCCCCCAAATGGTTGCTAGGAGAAAAACTGCACTATTCAGCCCTGTCTCATCAAATACTCAGATTGTTCATGGTAGTGAGGATTTTAGACGCTGAAATTAGAGTGAAGGATGAAATCTACAAGATCTACAAAATTGAGACAAAATCAGAGTTGTGTGAATTTGTCACATCTGCCCAGGTCCAATGTCATGAGAGTAGGATTAGGGTGCCACAGGCATGGGTGACCTAGTGAATTGGCCAGGTGACATACTGGTAATGGAGTAAAAGGACACTCTGAGTTAGTGCCCTCATGACACACAGCAAACTGTGATCATGAAAAGAGTGAGCTCAATAGTTTTCCATAAAATATGCTCAAAATTCGATGCAGTGGCCATGAGAGTACAGCTTTTGAAGTATGGTCAACCTGTGGTACGTTAGTAAATGATAAGGGGAGGAAGAAATGGAAACCTAAACATCTACTGCAATGAAAACCAACAGCAATGACAGGAGGAGTAATTCAGCCTTCGTTGAAAACATGACATCAAACACACTCTGGTTTCCCTGAATCTGTTGCCTCCAGGTGTTAACACAGAATTAAGCATCCACAATTGCTGAAAGTCACCTGGGGCATGGTGGGTTTTGATCTTCTTCCCCTTCTTTTCTTCCCCTTCTTCTTTCCTTCTTTGATCTTCTTCCCCTTCTTTTCTTCCCCTTCCCCTTCTTTTCAATTTCTGCAATAAATTCAGACATGGACAGACACATTAAGCTGATTCCCCTACACACATAACAATCCACTGTCTAATCCTCACACAGGGACCTCAGGCTCCTCAGCATAAGAATAGGACACTGTGAGAGATATATTTCAGGAGGCCTGAAGGCTGGTCATGATAGAAATTCCTCGGTTTTTCTCCCAGAAACTGTGGGTAAAATGTCCCTATTCTAGTAGATCGTTATCCCAATATCATTTGTCCCAAATTTGTGCAAACAGTTATGCCATATTTTTACAATCAACTTAAAGCAAATACCCTCAAATGATTTCTAGGAGAAAAACTGCAATATTTAGCCCTGTCTCATCAAATAGTCAGATTGTTCATGGTTGTGAGGACTTTAGACACTGAAATTAGAGTGAAAAAGGAAATCTACAAACCCTTGAGTCAAAATCATAGTTCTCTGAATTTGTCACATCTGCCCAGGTCCAATGTCATGAGAATAGGATCAGGGCGCCACAGGTATGGCCTGAGACTAGGAAGAGAGTCTTGCTCACTGACCCATCCCTTGTCTGGGCTTCCAGGTAGAACTAGAGTTTCATTCAACCTACATGTGCGTATAGGTCCTCCCTGTGGCAATGACATCTCTCAGCTCAGTAATGGCCACTTGGAGCAGGAATATGATCTTTATATGGAAGACTCAGTGGATCCTTATCACCTTCATAGAAAGGTACTCACCTCCCACGTCAAGAGAAAAGCCAACATGTTTTTCCTCCAATGCATAAAAGGAACTTCCATAGGGCTGGCAGGAGTCAGGCTGTTCAAGACAACTGGAAGGAGTTGAATAACATCTATCCAGTGAGTCCTGCAAGACTTCAGGCTCTACTACCTCCAGCAGCTCCCTGCTGAGCCTGGAAAAGGAGGAAAAAGTAAAGAATAAGCCAGGGGAAATCAGACACAACAGAGCCCCAACTAGGTTCATGGGTAAAGTTACCTGGGGCATGATGGGTCTTGGTCTTCTTCCACTTCTTGGTACTTTTCAATTTCTGCAATAAGTTCAGACATGGACAGATATATTAAGCTGGTTCTCCTACACACATAACAATCCACTGTCTAATCCTCACACAGGGACTTCAGGCTCCTCAGCATGAGAATAGGACACTGTGAGAGATATTCTTCAGGAGGCCTGAAGGCTGATCACCATAGAGATTCCTTGGTTTTTGTCCCAGAAACTGTGGGTAAAATTCCCTATTCTGGTAGATCGTTATCCCAATATCATTTGTCCCAAGTTTGTGCAAATGGTTATGCCATATTTTTCCAATCGATTTAAAGCAAATGCCCCCAAATGGTTGCTAGGAGAAAAACTGCACTATTCAGCCCTGTCTCATCAAATACTCAGATTGTTCATGGTAGTGAGGATTTTAGACGCTGAAATTAGAGTGAAGGATGAAATCTACAAGATCTACAAAATTGAGACAAAATCAGAGTTGTGTGAATTTGTCACATCTGCCCAGGTCCAATGTCATGAGAGTGGGATTAGGGTGCCACAGGCATGGCCTGAGACTAGGAAGAGAGCCTTGCTCACTGACCCATCCCTTGTCTGGGCTTCCAAGTGGAACTAGAGTTTCATTCAACCTACATGTGCCTATAGGTCCTCCCTGTGGCAATGACATCTCTCAGCTCAGTAAGGGCCACTTGCAGTAGGAATATGACCCTAACCAGAAGACTCAGTGGATCCTTATCACCTTCATAGAAAGGTACTCACCATCCATGTCAACAGCCAAGCCAACACGCTGTTGCTCCAATATGTAAAAGGCACTTCTGTAGGGCTGGCATGAGTCAGTCAGTTCAAGACAACCTGAAGGAGTTGAATAACATCTATCCAGTGAGTCCTGCAAGACTTCAGGCCCTTTCTCATCCAGCAGCTCCCTGCTGAGCCTGGAAAAGTGGGAAAAAGTAAAGAATAAGCCAGGGGGAATCAGAAACCACACAGCCCCAGCTAGATTTCATGGCTAACGTAAGGAAGAGTTTGAAAAGAAAAAGGACAGATCCATTAATGAGGTAACAAATTATTGCCTTTATGTTGGGATAGAACAGGGCCAGGTAGAAAACAATGAAAGAGAAAGACAGAGAGAGAGAGAGACAGAGACAGAGAGAGAGACAGAGACAGAGAGAAAGTGACCTAGTGAATTGGCCAGGTGACATACTGGTAATGGAGTAAAAGGACACTCTGAGTTAGTGCCCTCATGACACACAGCAAACTGTGATCATGAAAAGAGTGAGCTCAATAGTTTTCCATAAAATATGCTCAAAATTCGATGCAGTGGCCATGAGAGTACAGCTTTTGAAGTATGGTCAACCTGTGGTACGTTAGTAAATGATAAGGGGAGGAAGAAATGGAAACCTAAACATCTACTGCAATGAAAACCAACAGCAATGACAGGAGGAGTAATTCAGCCTTCGTTGAAAACATGACATCAAACACACTCTGGTTTCCCTGAATCTGTTGCCTCCAGGTGTTAACACAGAATTAAGCATCCACAATTGCGAAAGTCACCTGGGGCATGGTGGGTTTTGATCTTCTTCCCCTTCTTTTCTTCCCCTTCTTCTTTCCTTCTTTGATCTTCTTCCCCTTCTTTTCTTCCCCTTCCCCTTCTTTTCAATTTCTGCAATAAATTCAGACATGGACAGACACATTAAGCTGATTCCCCTACACACATAACAATCCACTGTCTAATCCTCACACAGGGACCTCAGGCTCCTCAGCATAAGAATAGGACACTGTGAGAGATATATTTCAGGAGGCCTGAAGGCTGGTCATGATAGAAATTCCTCGGTTTTTCTCCCAGAAACTGTGGGTAAAGTGTCCCTATTCTAGTAGATCGTTATCCCAATATCATTTGTCCCAAGTTTGTGCAAACAGTTATGCCATATTTTTACAATCAACTTAAAGCAAATACCCTCAAATGATTTCTAGGAGAAAAACTGCAATATTTAGCCCTGTCTCATCAAATAGTCAGATTGTTCATGGTTGTGAGGACTTTAGACACTGAAATTAGAGTGAAAAAGGAAATCTACAAACCCTTGAGTCAAAATCATAGTTCTCTGAATTTGTCACATCTGCCCAGGTCCAATGTCATGAGAACAGGATCAGGGCGCCACAGGTATGGCCTGAGACTAGGAAGAGAGTCTTGCTCACTGACCCATCCCTTGTCTGGGCTTCCAGGTAGAACTAGAGTTTCATTCAACCTACATGTGCGTATAGGTCCTCCCTGTGGCAATGACATCTCTCAGCTCAGTAATGGCCACTTGGAGCAGGAATATGATCTTTATATGGAAGACTCAGTGGATCCTTATCACCTTCATAGAAAGGTACTCACCTCCCACGTCAAGAGAAAAGCCAACATGTTTTTCCTCCAATGCATAAAAGGAACTTCCATAGGGCTGGCAGGAGTCAGGCTGTTCAAGACAACTGGAAGGAGTTGAATAACATCTATCCAGTGAGTCCTGCAAGACTTCAGGCTCTACTACCTCCAGCAGCTCCCTGCTGAGCCTGGAAAAGGAGGAAAAAGTAAAGAATAAGCCAGGGGAAATCAGACACAACAGAGCCCCAACTAGGTTTCATGGGTAGCATAGGGAAGTGGTTAAAAAACTAAAAGGATAGATCCATTAATGAGGTAACAAATTATTGCCTTCATGTTGGGACAGAACAGGGCCAAATGGAAAAGAATGAAAGAGAAAGACAGATAGACACACACACACACACACACACACACACACACACACACAGAGAGAGAGAGAGAACGAGCTCAGTGAATTGTCCAGGTGACACACTGATGAGGGAGTAACAGGACACTCTGAGTTAGTGCCCTCAGGACACACAGCATACAGGGATCATGAAAAGACTGTGCTCAATAATTTTCCATAAAATGTGCTCAAGTTTCCATGCAGTCGCCATGAGAATACAGTTTTTGAAGTCTGGTCCACCTACAGTAGGTTAGTAAATGAGAAGGGGAGGAAGAAATGGAAACCTAAATATCTACTGCAATGAAAACCAACAGCAATGTTAGTAGGAATAATTCAGGCTTGGTTGAAAAGATGTAATCGATAATGTCAGCCCGCTCTGTTTTCCCTGAACCAGGAGTCTCCAGATGTCAACACAGAAGTAGCTGTTCACAATTGCTCAGTTACCTGGGGCATGGTGGGCCTTGGTCTTCTTCCTCTTCTTGGTCCTTTTTAATTCCTGCAATACATTCAGACAGGGACAGACAAAATAAGCCAATTCACCTACACCCATAACAGTCCACTGTCTAATCCCCACACAGGGATCTCAGGCTCCTCAGCATGAGAACAGGACAATGTGAGAGATATACTTCAGGAGGCCTGAAAGCTGGTCATGATATTCTTTGGTTTGCATCTCAGAACCAAGGGTGAAATATCCCCATTCTGGTAGATCGTTATCCCAAAATCATTTATCCCAAGTTTGTGCAAACAGTTATGCCTTATTGTTCCCATCAGTTCAAAGAAAATGCCCCAGATGATTTCTAGGAGGAAAACTGCAGTATTCAGCCCTGTCTCATCAAATGCCCAGCTCGTTCATGGATGCAAGAATTTTAGACACTGAAATTAGAATGAAGGAGGAAATCTACAAACCCTTGAGTCCAAATCATACTTCTGTGAATTTTTTACATCTGCCTGGGTCCAATGTGCTGAGAGCGGGCTCAGGTTGCCACAGGCATGGCTGGAGACTAGGAATGGAGCCTTGCTCACTGACCCATTTCATGTCTAGGCTTCCAACTGAGACTACAGTTTCATTACAACCTATATGCGCCCATAGGTCCTGCCTGCGGCAATGACATCTCTCGGGTCAGTAAGGGCCACTTGGAACAGGAATATCACCCCTATCTGGAAGACCAGGTGGAGGCTTATCACCTTCATAGTAAGGTACTCACTGTCCACGTCAAGAGCCAAGCCAAGGTACTGTTCCTCCAATGAGTAAACAGCACTGCTGTAGGGCTGGCCTAAGTCAGGCAGTTCAAGATAACCTGAAGGAGTCGAATAACATCTACCCAGTGAGTCCTGCAAGACTTCAGGCTCTTTCTCATCCAGCAGCTCCCTGCTGAGCCTGGAAAAGTAGGAAAAAGTAAAGAATAAGCCAGGGGGAATCAGAAACCACACAGCCCCAGCTAGATTTCATGGCTAACATAAGGAACTGTTTAAAAAGAAAAAGGACAGATCCATTAATGAGGTAATGAATTATTGCCTTTAGGTTGGGATAGACCAGGGCCAGGTAGAAAAGAATGAAAGAGAAAGACAGGGAGAGGCAGAGAGAGAGAGAGAGAGGAGAAAGTGAGCTCAGCGAGTTGGCCGGGTGACACACTGATGAAGGGGTCAAAGGACACTCTGAGTTAGTGCCCTCGGGACACACAGCGAACAGTGATCATGAAAAGAGTGGACTCAATAATTTTCCATAAACTTGCTCAAGATTCCATGCAGTTGCCATACAGCCTTTGAGGTATGGTCAACCTATAGTAAGTTAGTAAATGATAAGGGGAGGAAGAAATGGAAACCTAAACATCTACCGCAATGAAAACCAACAGCAATGTCAGTAGGAGTAATTCAACCTTCGTTGAAAACATGAAATTGAACACACTCTTGTTTTCCCTGGACCTGGCATCTCCAGGTGTCAACACAGAATTAAGCATCCATAATTGCTCAAAGTTACCTGGGGCATGATGGGTCTTGGTCTTCTTCCACTTCTTGGTACTTTTCAATTTCTGCAATAAGTTCAGACATGGACAGATATATTAAGCTGGTTCTCCTACACACATAACAATCCACTGTCTAATCTTCACACAGGGACTTCAGGCTCCTCAGCATGAGAATAGGACACTGTGAGAGATATTCTTCAGGAGGCCTGAAGGCTGATCACCATAGAGATTCCTTGGTTTTTGTCCCAGAAACTGTGGGTAAAATTCCCTATTCTGGTAGATCGTTATCCCAATATCATTTGTCCCAAGTTTGTGCAAATGGTTATGCCATATTTTTCCAATCGATTTAAAGCAATTGCCCCCAAATGGTTGCTAGGAGAAAAACTGCACTATTCAGCCCTGTCTCATCAAATACTCAGATTGTTCATGGTAGCGAGGATTTTAGACGCTGAAATTAGAGTGAAGGATGAAATCTACAAGATCTACAAATTGAGACAAATCAGAGTTGGTGTGAATTTGTCACATCTGGCCCAGTCAAAATTCGATGCAGTGGCCATGAGAGTACAGCTTTTGAAGTATGGTCAACCTATAGTACGTTAGTAAATGATAAGGGGAGGAAGAAATGGAAACCTAAACATCTACTGCAATGAAAACCAACAGCAATGACAGGAGGAGTAATTCAACCTTCGTTGAAAACATGAAATTGAACACACTCTTGTTTTCCCTGGACCTGGCATCTCCAGGTGTCAACACAGAATTAAGCATCCATAATTGCTCAAAGTTACCTGGGGCATGATGGGTCTTGGTCTTCTTCCACTTCTTGGTACTTTTCAATTTCTGCAATAAGTTCAGACATGGACAGATATATTAAGCTGATTCCCCTACACACATAACAATCCACTGTCTAATCTTCACACAGGGACTTCAGGCTCCTCAGCATGAGAATAGGACACTGTGAGAGATATTCTTCAGGAGGCCTGAAGGCTGATCACCATAGAGATTCCTTGGTTTTTGTCCCAGAAACTGTGGGTAAAATTCCCTATTCTGGTAGATCGTTATCCCAATATCATTTGTCCCAAGTTTGTGCAAATGGTTATGCCATATTTTTCCAATCGATTTAAAGCAATTGCCCCCAAATGGTTGCTAGGAGAAAAACTGCACTATTCAGCCCTGTCTCATCAAATACTCAGATTGTTCATGGTAGCGAGGATTTTAGACGCTGAAATTAGAGTGAAGGATGAAATCTACAAGATCTACAAAATTGAGACAAAATCAGAGTTGTGTGAATTTGTCACATCTGCCCAGGTCCAATGTCATGAGAGTAGGATTAGGGCGCCACAGGCATGGCCTGAGACTAGGAAGAGCGCCTTGCTCACTGACCCATCCCTTGTCTGGGCTTCCAAGTGGAACTAGAGCTTCATTCAACCTACATGTGCCTATAGGTCCTCCCTGTGGCAATGACATCCCTCAGCTCAGTAAGGGCCACTTGCAGTAGGAATATGACCCTAACCAGAAGACTCAGTGGATCCTCACACAGCGAACAGTGATCATGAAAAGAGTGGGCTCAATAATTTTCCATAAACTTGCTCAAGATTCCATGCAGTTGCCATACAGCCTTTGAGGTATGGTCAACCTATAGTAAGTTACTAAATGATAAGGGGAGGAAGAAATGGAAACCTAAACATCTACTGCAATGAAAACCAACAGCAATGTCAGTAGGCGTAATTCAACCTTCGTTGAAAACATGAAATTGAATACACTCTTGTTTTCCCTGGACCTGGCATCTCCAGGTGTCAACACAGAATTAAGCATCCATAATTGCTCAAAGTTACCTGGGGCATGATGGGTCTTGGTCTTCTTCCACTTCTTGGTACTTTTCAATTTCTGCAATAAGTTCAGACATGGACAGACATATTAAGCTGGTTCTCCTACACACATAACAATCCACTGTCTAATCCTCACACAGGGACTTCAGGCTCCTCAGCATGAGAATAGGACACTGTGAGAGATATTCTTCAGGAGGCCTGAAGGCTGATCACCATAGAGATTCCTTGGTTTTTGTCCCAGAAACTGTGGGTAAAATTCCCTATTCTGGTAGATCGTTATCCCAATATCATTTGTCCCAAGTTTGTGCAAATGGTTATGCCATATTTTTCCAATCGATTTAAAGCAAATGCCCCCAAATGGTTGCTAGGAGAAAAACTGCACTATTCAGCCCTGTCTCATCAAATACTCAGATTGTTCATGGTAGCGAGGATTTTAGACGCTGAAATTAGAGTGAAGGATGAAATCTACAAGATCTACAAAATTGAGACAAAATCAGAGTTGTGTGAATTTGTCACATCTGCCCAGGTCCAATGTCATGAGAGTAGGATTAGGGCGCCACAGGCATGGCCTGAGACTAGGAAGAGCGCCTTGCTCACTGACCCATCCCTTGTCTGGGCTTCCAAGTGGAACTAGAGCTTCATTCAACCTACATGTGCCTATAGGTCCTCCCTGTGGCAATGACATCCCTCAGCTCAGTAAGGGCCACTTGCAGTAGGAATATGACCCTAACCAGAAGACTCAGTGGATCCTTATCACCTTCATAGAAAGGTACTCACCATCCATGTCAACAGCCAAGCCAACACGCTGTTGCTCCAATATGTAAAAGGCACTTCTGTAGGGCTGGCATGAGTCAGTCAGTTCAAGACAACCTGAAGGAGTTGAATAGCATCTATCCAGTGACTCCTGCAAGACTTCAGGCTCTTTCTCATCCAACAGCTCCCCGCTGAGCCTGGAAAAGTGGGAAAAAGTAAAGAATAAGCCAGGGGGAATCAGAAACCACACAGCTCCAGCTAGATTTCATGGCTAAGATAAGGAACTGTTTAAAAAGAAAAAGGACAGATCCATTACTGAGGGAATGAATTATTGCCTTTAGGTTGGGATAAACCAGGGCCAGGTAGAAAAGAACGAAAGAGAAAGACAGGGAGAGGGAGAGAGAGAGAGAGGAGAAAGTGAGCTCAGTGAATTGGCCGGGTGACACACAGATGAAGGGGTCAAAGGACACTTTGAGTTAGTTCCCTCGGGACACACAGCGAACAGTGATCATGAAAAGAGTGGGCTCAATAATTTTCCATAAACTTGCTCAAGATTCCATGCAGTTGCCATACAGCCTTTGAGGTATGGTCAACCTATAGTAAGTTAGTAAATGATAAGGGGAGGAAGAAATGGAAACCTAAACATCTACCGCAATGAAAACCAACAGCAATGTCAGTAGGAGTAATTCAACCTTCGTTGAAAACATGAAATTGAACACACTCTTGTTTTCCCTGGACCTGGCATCTCCAGGTGTCAACACAGAATTAAGCATCCATAATTGCTCAAAGTTACCTGGGGCATGATGGGTCTTGGTCTTCTTCCACTTCTTGGTACTTTTCAATTTCTGCAATAAGTTCAGACATGGACAGACATATTAAGCTGGTTCTCCTACACACATAACAATCCACTGTCTAATCCTCACACAGGGACTTCAGGCTCCTCAGCATGAGAATAGGACACTGTGAGAGATATTCTTCAGGAGGCCTGAAGGCTGATCACCATAGAGATTCCTTGGTTTTTGTCCCAGAAACTGTGGGTAAAATTCCCTATTCTGGTAGATCGTTATCCCAATATCATTTGTCCCAAGTTTGTGCAAATGGTTATGCCATATTTTTCCAATCGATTTAAAGCAAATGCCCCCAAATGGTTGCTAGGAGAAAAACTGCACTATTCAGCCCTGTCTCATCAAATACTCAGATTGTTCATGGTAGCGAGGATTTTAGACGCTGAAATTAGAGTGAAGGATGAAATCTACAAGATCTACAAAATTGAGACAAAATCAGAGTTGTGTGAATTTGTCACATCTGCCCAGGTCCAATGTCATGAGAGTAGGATTAGGGCGCCACAGGCATGGCCTGAGACTAGGAAGAGCGCCTTGCTCACTGACCCATCCCTTGTCTGGGCTTCCAAGTGGAACTAGAGCTTCATTCAACCTACATGTGCCTATAGGTCCTCCCTGTGGCAATGACATCCCTCAGCTCAGTAAGGGCCACTTGCAGTAGGAATATGACCCTAACCAGAAGACTCAGTGGATCCTTATCACCTTCATAGAAAGGTACTCACCATCCATGTCAACAGCCAAGCCAACACGCTGTTGCTCCAATATGTAAAAGGCACTTCTGTAGGGCTGGCATGAGTCAGTCAGTTCAAGACAACCTGAAGGAGTTGAATAGCATCTATCCAGTGACTCCTGCAAGACTTCAGGCTCTTTCTCATCCAACAGCTCCCCGCTGAGCCTGGAAAAGTGGGAAAAAGTAAAGAATAAGCCAGGGGGAATCAGAAACCACACAGCTCCAGCTAGATTTCATGGCTAAGATAAGGAACTGTTTAAAAAGAAAAAGGACAGATCCATTACTGAGGGAATGAATTATTGCCTTTAGGTTGGGATAAACCAGGGCCAGGTAGAAAAGAACGAAAGAGAAAGACAGGGAGAGGGAGAGAGAGAGAGAGGAGAAAGTGAGCTCAGTGAATTGGCCGGGTGACACACAGATGAAGGGGTCAAAGGACACTCTGAGTTAGTGCCCTCGGGACACACAGCGAACAGTGATCATGAAAAGAGTGGGCTCAATAATTTTCCATAAACTTGCTCAAGATTCCATGCAGTTGCCATACAGCCTTTGAGGTATGGTCAACCTATAGTAAGTTACTAAATGATAAGGGGAGGAAGAAATGGAAACCTAAACATCTACTGCAATGAAAACCAACAGCAATGTCAGTAGGCGTAATTCAACCTTCGTTGAAAACATGAAATTGAATACACTCTTGTTTTCCCTGGACCTGGCATCTCCAGGTGTCAACACAGAATTAAGCATCCATAATTGCTCAAAGTTACCTGGGGCATGATGGGTCTTGGTCTTCTTCCACTTCTTGGTACTTTTCAATTTCTGCAATAAGTTCAGACATGGACAGACATATTAAGCTGGTTCTCCTACACACATAACAATCCACTGTCTAATCCTCACACAGGGACTTCAGGCTCCTCAGCATGAGAATAGGACACTGTGAGAGATATTCTTCAGGAGGCCTGAAGGCTGATCACCATAGAGATTCCTTGGTTTTTGTCCCAGAAACTGTGGGTAAAATTCCCTATTCTGGTAGATCGTTATCCCAATATCATTTGTCCCAAGTTTGTGCAAATGGTTATGCCATATTTTTCCAATCGATTTAAAGCAAATGCCCCCAAATGGTTGCTAGGAGAAAAACTGCACTATTCAGCCCTGTCTCATCAAATACTCAGATTGTTCATGGTAGTGAGGATTTTAGACGCTGAAATTAGAGTGAAGGATGAAATCTACAAGATCTACAAAATTGAGACAAAATCAGAGTTGTGTGAATTTGTCACATCTGCCCAGGTCCAATGTCATGAGAGTAGGATTAGGGTGCCACAGGCATGGCCTGAGACTAGGAAGAGAGCCTTGCTCACTGACCCATCCCTTGTCTGGGCTTCCAAGTGGAACTAGAGTTTCATTCAACCTACATGTGCCTATAGGTCCTCCCTGTGGCAATGACATCTCTCAGCTCAGTAAGGGCCACTTGCAGTAGGAATATGACCCTAACCAGAAGACTCAGTGGATCCTTATCACCTTCATAGAAAGGTACTCACCATCCATGTCAACAGCCAAGCCAACACGCTGTTGCTCCAATACGTAAAAGGCACTTCTGTAGGGCTGGCATGAGTCAGTCAGTTCAAGACAACCTGAAGGAGTTGAATAACATCTATCCAGTGAGTCCTGCAAGACTTCAGGCCCTTTCTCATCCAGCAGCTCTCTGCTGAGCCTGGAAAAGTGGGAAAAAGTAAAGAATAAGCCAGGGGGAATCAGAAACCACACAGCCCCAGCTAGATTTCATGGCTAATGTAAGGAAGAGTTTGAAAAGAAAAAGGACAGATCCATTAATGAGGTAACAGATTATTGCCTTTATGTTGGGATAGAACAGGGCCAGGTAGAAAAAGATGAAAGACACACACACACACACACACACACACACACACACACACAGAGCGAGCTCAGTGAATTGGTCAGGTGACACACTGATGAGGGAGTCAAAGGACACTCTGTATTTGTGCTCTCAGGACACACAGTGAACAGTGATCATGAAAAGCATGTCCTCAATAATTTTGCGTAAAATGTGGTCAAGTTTCCCTGCAGTTACCATGAGAATACAGCTTTTGAGGTATGGTCAACTTTCACTAGGTTAGTAAATGATAAGGGTAGGAAGAAATGGAAACCTAAAGATTTACTCTAATGAGAACCAAAAAGCAATGTAGTAGGCATAATTCAGACTTGTCTGACAAGACAAAATCATTATTTTCAGCATGTACTGTTTTCCCTGGACTTGGCATCTCCAGGTGTCAACATCAAATTAACTGTCCACAATTTCTCAGACTCACCTGGGACCTGTTGCCTCGTGGTCCTCCTTTTTCACTTGATCCCACCGATGTCCTGCAAATAAATTCAGATGGGCCCTCTTACATTAAGCAGTTCTTCCTTGCACACAGAAACATTCCTCTGTCCAATCCTAACACAGGGACATCAGTCTTGTCAGTGTGAGAACAGGAGACTTTGAGAGAAATATTCCAGTAGGCCTGAGGTCAAGTCTTGAGAAAACTGGCTTGGGTTCTTTCATGAGCCTTGGGCAAAATTCCCCTGTGTTGGAATGTTATCTTCCCTATGTGCTCTGTCCTAGGTTTATGTACACAAATGAGCAATTTTTTCCCCAATAAATTGTAGGCAAATAGTTCTAACACCTCATAGGAGAGATACTTCAATATTAGGCTTTTCTCATTAAATACCCAGAATTTGATAGTTTATGAGATTGTGGACACAGAGATTTGATGAAAGGGTGCAATGTACCAGCTCTTGAGTCAAAATGAAACTTGGTTCTACACAGAAGCATCAGCTATTATGGCTTTTGTGGGTGAAAAGTCAGCCATTTATCTAGAAAACATACCAGGAACATGACGGACAGATGAGCTAAAACAAGCGAACTTAGAAGACACAGAAAATGGGAATAAATTCAGTGAAACCTGGGTCACATCTTTCACTGAGAGGTAGACAAGGGTGACACTGGCCTTGGGCAGGTAAAGAACCACACAGACATGCTTTGGGAACAAAACTCATAAGGAATTTTGTAGCTGGCAAGAGACATTTAATTCAGATGAGCTGAGCTGACAGACAACTCCTGGGCATGTGCTGCATAGTTTGGTGTGAGTTTGCCACACCTGCCTTGAGTTCAATGTCGTGACAGTCAGTCCAGGTTGGCACGGGCATGGCCTGAGACTAGGAAGAGAGCAAAGCTCACTGACCCACCCCATGCCTGTGCTTCAGACTCGACTCCAGAGTGATTGAAATCTACATTGATATATAGGTTCAGCCCACAGTGATGGCAAATCTCAGCCCAAGAAGGGGCACAAGGCCCAAAGATTATGGGGTCTACCTGGGCCATGAACTGGAGCTTTATCACCTTCACAATGGAGTACTCACTGCCTATGTCAACAGCCATGCAGACTTGCTGTTCCTCTAATGAGTGAAATGTGCTGCTGTAAGACTTGTACGAGGCTAACATTTCAGGAGGAATTGAGAGAGTCGAATAACCTTCATCCCAGGACTCCTGGGGGACTTCCTCCTCTTCAGACTCCTGCAGATTCCTGATGAGCCAGGCAGGACAGGGATGACAGAAGATTTAACCAACAGACTTTAGACAACAAAACCTCCCAGATGATCTGATGGGAGACAGAATGGAGTGGTCACAGAAACCAAAGGCATTTTTCCTTCAAGAGGAATAAAACTATCCTTCTAAATACAGGGTGGAGGGTGACTGCTCTGGGGACAGAGCAAAAATGGGCAGCGTGTGCTCAGTACATTTGCCACAGATGAGCCAACTCAGGGCACCCAGACTCTCCCTGTAAACTACCATCATGACTTGCAGCACAGAGAACTGACACAGGGCTTCAACTACTTTGCATAAATTGGGTTGAATTTTACATGCAGCATTCAAGTGAAGAGAGTTCTTGACGCAGTGCAGACACAGATCTTGTGTATTAAGGGCCCCATTTTCCCAATATTTTGATATAATATATTTACTTTTTCAATTTCTTTTCTTGCAAAAATACTAGCCAACATACTACCAACAAATAGGAAGAAAGCATATATACACCTCTCCCTGGATTTAAACACATGGGAGAGAATAGGCAACACCAAGAAATCCCTGTTTGAGGGTCTGGAGTGGACTTCCAGCAAACTCCAACAGACCTGAAGCTGAGGGACCTGACTGTTAGAAGGAAAACTAACACACAGAAAGGAATAGCATCAACATCAACAAAAAAGACATCCACCCCAAAACCCCATCTGTAGGTCGCCATCATCAAAGACCAAGGGTAGATAAAACCACAAAGGTGGGGAGAAACCAGAGCACAAAAGCTGAAAATTCCAAAAACCTGACATCCCTTCTCCTCCAAAGGATCGCAGCTCCTCGCCAGCAATGGAACAAAGCAGGATGGAGAATGACTTTGATGAGCTGACAGAAGTAGGCTTCAGAAAGTCGGTAATAACAAACTTCTCTGAGCTAAAGGAGGATGTGCGAACTCATCGCAAGGAAGCTAAAAACCTTGAAAAAAGATTAGACGAATGGCTAACCAGAATGAACAGTGTAGAGAAGACCTTAAATGACCTGATGGAGCTGAAAACCATGGCACGAGAACTATGTGATGCATGCACAAGCTTCAGTAGCCAATTCGATCAAGTGCAAGAAACGGTATCAGTGATTCAAGATCAAATTAGTGAAATGAAGCGAGAAGAGAAGTTTAGAGAAAAAAGAGTAAAAAGAAATGAACAAGCCTCCAATAAATATGGGACTATGTGGAAAGACCAAATCTACGTTTGATTGGTGTACTGAAAGTGACGGGGAGAATGGAACCAAGCTGGGAAACATTCTTCAGGATATTATCCAGGAGGACTTCCCCAACCTAGCAAGGAAGGCCAACATTCAAATTCAGGAAACACAGAGAACACCATAAAGATACTCCTCGAGAAGAGCAACCCCAAAACACGTAATTGTCAGATTCACCAAGGTTGAAATGAAGGAAAAAATGCTAAGGGCAGCCAGAGAGAAAGGTCGGATTACCCACAAAGGGAAACCCATCAGACTAGCAGCAGATCTCTTGGCACAAACCCTACAAGCCAGAAGAGAGTGGGAGCAATATTCAACATTCTTTTTTTTTTCCATATGTATAGTTTTCCTTTATTATTTTTTGTGTGTATGTATATATATATATATATATATATATATATATATATATATATATTTTTAATACTTTAAGTCTTAGGGTACATGTGCACAACGTGCAGGTTAGTTACATATGTATACATGTCCACATTGGTGTGCTTCACCCATTAACTCATCATTTAACATTAGGTATATCTCCTAATGCTACCCCTCCCCCCTCCCCCCACCCTACAACAGGCCCCAGTGTGTGATGTTCCCCTTTCTGTGTCCATGTGTTCTCATTGTTCAATTCCCACCTGTGAGTAAGAACATGCGGTATTTGGTTTTTTGTCCTTGCAATAGTTTGCTGAGAATGATGGTTTCCAGCTTCATCCATGCCCCTACAAAGGACATGAACTCATCATTTTTTATAGCTGCATAGTATTCCATGGTGTATATGTGCCACATTTTCTTAATCCAGTCTATCATTGCTGGATATTTGGCTTGGTTCCAAGTCTTTGCTATTGTGAATAGTGCCGCAATAAACATATGTGTGCATGTGTCTTTACAGCAGCATGATTTATAATCCTTTGGGTATACACCCAGTAATGGGATGGCTGGGTCAAATGGTATTTCTAGTTCTAGATCTCTGAGGAATTGCCACACTGCCTTCCACAATCGTTGAACTAGTTTACAGTCCCACCAACAGTGTAAAAGTGTTCCTATTTCTCCACATCCTCTCCAGCATCTTCAACATTCTTAAAGAAAAGAATTTTCATCCAAGAATTTCATATCCAGCCAAACAAAGCTTCATAAGTGAAGGAGAAATAAATCCTTTACAGAGAAGCAAATGCTGAGAGATTTTGTCACCACCAGGCCTGCCTTACAAGAGCTCCTAAAGGAAGCACTAAACATGGAAAGGAACAATCGGTACCAGCCACTGCAAAAACATGCCAAACTGTAAAGACCATTGACGCTAGGAAGAAACTGCATCAACTAACGGGCGAAATAACCAGCTAACATCATAACGACAGGATCAAATTCACACATAACAATATTAACCTTAAATGTAAATGGGCTAAATGCCCCAGTTAAAAAACACAGAATGGCAAATTGGATAAAGAGTCAAGACCCATCAGTGTGCTGTACTCAGGAAACCCATCTCACATGCAGAGACACACATAGGCTCAAAATAAAGGGATGGAGGAAGATCTACCAAGCAAATGGAAAACAAAAAAAAGGCAGGGGTTGCAATCCTAGTCTCTGATAAAACAGACTTTAAACCAACAAAGATCAAAAGAGACAAAGAAGGCCACTACATAATGGTAAAGGGATCAATTCAACAAGAAGAGTTAACTATCCTAAATATATATGCACCCTAAACAGGAGCACCCAGATTCATAAAGCAAGTCCTGAGAGACCTACAAAGAGATTTAGACTCCACAAAATCATCATGGGAGACTTTAACACCCCACTGTCAATATTAAACAGATCAATGAGACAGAAGCTTAACAAGGATATCCAGGACTTGAACTCAGCTCTCCACCAAGCAGACCTAAAAGACATCTACAGAACTCTCCACACCAAATCAACAGAATATACATTCTTCTCAGCACCACATCACACTTATTCCAAAATTGACCACATAGTTGGAGGTAAAGCACTCGTCAGCAAATGTAAAAGAATGGAAATCACAACAAACTGTCAGACCACAGTGCCATCAAATTAGAACTCAGGATTAAGAAACTCACTCAAAACCGCACAACTACATGGAAACTGAACAACCTGCTCCTGAATGACTACTGGGAAAATAACAAAATGAAGGCAGAAATAAAGATGTTCTTTGAAACCAATGAGAACAAAGATACAACATACCAGAATCTCTGGGACACATTTAAAGCAATGTGTAGAGGGAAAATTATAGCACTAAATGCCCACAAGAGAAAGCAGAAAAGACCTAAAATTGACACCCTAACATCACAATTAAAATAACGAGAGAAGCAAAGCAAACAAATTCAAAAGCTAGCAGAAGACAAGAAGTAACTAAGATCAGAGCAGAACTAAAGGAGAGAGAGACACAAAAAACCCTTCAAAAAATCAATGAATCCAGGGCTGGTTTTTTGAAAAGATCAACAAGAAAACCCTGTTTGGCTAGTTCACCTGGCTCATCTGATGGCAAGTTCCTATCTTGAGAGGACTATGAAATTAAAACCAATACAAGTGCCACAAATAACATACAACATTGTAAATCAGCACAATTTGTAGCTGGGTGAATGGAAGAAATAGTTCTATTCATCACTTCCTCATTTTCCCTAAATCTACAATCTCCAGATGTCACTACTGAATTAACAGCCAACAATTCCACAACATTACCTGGGAGACACTGGTCCTTTTTCTTCCTCTTCCTCATCATCACTTTCATTTTCTGTAAATAAATTCAGAGAAGCAGGTCACATTAAGCAATTCATACTTCACATATGAACAAATCACTGTCCAGTCATAGCACAAGGACATAACTATTCTCAGTGCAAGAATAAGGATTCTGACAGGAATATTCTAGGTTGTCCTAGATTAACTTTGGTGAGAATTAGATGACCCTGCTTTCCAGACCCACAGGCCAAAATCTCCCTCTATGTGTAGACCATAATGCCATATTCCCTGCTTGAGTCAAAGTTAAACAAAATTTTTTCCCCAAAAAAATCTCCAAAAATTGGTCAAACAATTTTCTAAGAGTGTTGCTGCGATATGGACTTATATCACCAGGTAACATGGACATTAAATGTTTAGAGGCATCTATACATGAAACACGACTGATAGATAAATTTGAACAACTCTTGCTTTAAAAAGAATCTGTGATTTGGGAGGCCAAGACAGGTGAATCATTTGAGGTCATGAGTTCAGGACTACCCTGGCCAATATGGGGAAACCCTGTCTCTACTAAAAATACAAAAATTAGCCAGATGTGATGTTGTGCACCTGTGGTCCCAGCAACTCAGGAGGCTGAGGCAGGAGAATCACTTGAATCTGGGAGGCAGAGGTTGCACCAAGCCAAGATGGTGCCACTGCACTCCAGCCTGGGTGACAGAGCAAGACTCCATCGCAAAAAAAAAAAAAAAAAAAAAAAAAAAAAAATCCACGATGCTACAAAGAAACATTGGATCAGCCATTGCATTGACAGGGTGGAGAACCAGGGTCCAGCCTTGCTTTATGGAAATATATCAGCAAAGTAAAGAAGAAAAGTTTCTGTCCTGATTTCAGGGTGACTGTGCAGCTAAGCAAGCTGACTTAAAGGAGATCCAGATGAAAGCTGAGAGCAGTGAAGCCTGGTGAACAATATTTCCAAATACAAAGGCAAGGCTGCCAGCTTCCTTAAACAGGCATAGAAACTCCATGGACATTGTTCAGGGACAGATGACTTAATCACAGATGACAAGAGATATTGAATCGAAGCTAGGAGGCCTGACAGATACTGCCTGTGCACCTCCTGCACTCAGGTGACTATGAGATTGTCACACTTGCCTGGGGTTGAGTAACTTGATACTGGGGACTGGCAGACAAAGTCATGACATTAGCTGAGAAGGACAAAAAACTCCCTGATATCTGTTTAGAAACCCATCACAGTTTTTTATTCAAATGAATTTGTGTTTATAGAGCCTGTCTTCAGAGTTTATCTTCCTCAGCCAAGAAAGAGGTATGAGACACAAGGAAAACAGAGGCTACCTGGAATAATGTGTACAGCATCCTCCCATTCAACATGAGAGGATGAGCCAATGAGAGTTGAGTCGACTTTGTCTTCCTCAAATGTGATTTTGGTTTTCCTATGTGGCTGGTTGCAGTCATAAGGGCCATGGCTATTTGAACAAGTGATGGCACATTCCTCCAGTGAGTCCTCAGGGACTTCCTTTTCTTCAGCCTTCTGCATCTCCCTGATGAGCCAGGTGGGACAGAGATGACAGAAGATTAAACACAGAGGGATTGGACCCCAGGGAGTCCTAGCTGGTTTTGACAGGCGGCATTAAGAGAGTGGTCCCAGAAAGCAAAATGGAGGTTCCCATTAAGAGGGAACATGCAATCCTGTTCTCTCTGCAACAGAGCATGGCTGCCATGGGAACCAGAGAGGAAGAGAGCAGCTGCTGTTCATTGCACTGGACAGATAGGAGCTGAGGAGGATGAAGACTCAGCTATCCCTGTACGGTGCAGACATGACACTCGGCACACATAGAGAAACATGACAGCTACCGCACCCTGTGTCTAAGCTGGGTTATATTTCACATACTGTGGCCAAGCGAATGCGGGTTTTTGGTCCATCATAGATGCCAGAGAGGGTGTGCCTCCTAGATATTCCTCATATGTTACCATCCATTAATTGTTCCTGAGTATTCAGTGTTACCTGGGGGCAGACGATTTCTGCACTTTCTCAGCCACCTCAACTTGAACATCTTCATCGTCATCGTTGTCATTTTCTGTAAATACAGAAGTGTTCGTTCAGATATTTCCCACTTCACAGTCTGCAAGCACAGTCAGCCCAATGTGCAACAGAGACATGAACATCTAGGCATGGGTCACCGTTCAACTGAAAACTCTCATGATTTATCTTTAACAGAATGCCCTGGCATGGTTTCCTGATCCATCAGGCAATGCATTTCTGATCTGGAGGGCCACCATCAAGATGTGGCCAAATATTGAAAAGACCTTTTGCTTCCCATATCACTGGAGGCTTGTGCAGCCTCTCTCTGGACGTTGGCAGCTGTCTCCCCCATCCTGCCAGATCTGATTCCCAGGCACAGGCTTGGTGTCCTGTCACGGTTTGCATTTCAAACCTAATTCTTTCTCTTAGAAGCAGACAAACTTGTCCCACAGTCCTCTATGCATCAGAAGATTTCAAGCCTCCAAGTGGCTTCTGCTGTGTTCTTCAGGGACATTCTATCCATGGGGAGTGCTCCAGTCTGAAGCACTTCCTACCACAAAACGCCCCCACATAAAGTGCCTTCTCCAACATCACACGGCGAGGGACTTCATCTCATTTTGGAAAGCAGTTGTAAGTGTTCCCACATTTGAATGCTTCAGACACTTGCAAGAGACAATTTGTCTGCCACGGAGAGAGAGAAACTCAGGAAGGACAAGTCATTCACTCTCTGACAGTTACTAAGAACATTGTCGAAAAGACAGCCTGGGAACCTTCATTCTTAGTCCAGAGCTCTTTTCACTCTAACAAGCCTGCTCCCATCCCAGCCTCCTTCCTGTCCTTTAAAACTAGATAGATGCTGCCTCTTGCTCCAAAGACCACCTTCCATCAAGGAAGGAGGGACACTTGCAATACTGTGACCTCCAACCCCATGGGTTTCCCATCTCTGTTCTTACCCAAGAAGTCCTGGTCATGTCATGGCCACATAAGCTTAGTGGAAAAAAACACCACTGATACAACTGTCATTGTGAAAGTATGGAGGTCTGGAGTCTCTCATAAGCCTGGGATTTTGGGTCATCAGGGCCTATGGCCACCTTACCTGGGCTGAGCTTTTGGACAAGGTGCTGTGCCAGTCTACACCCCTCAGCCAGCTGTTCTTGGAGGTCCTGCCCCTGGGACTTGTCCGGCTCATCCGGAGTGAGGAGGGCCTGGAGATGCTCATTCAATGAGCGGGAGGCATCTCTCCCTTCCCGCAACTTCTCCCTTAACTGGGTCAGCTCTCGTTCCTGAGCGTGAACCAGGACTTTATATTGCCTAAGGTGAGACGGTAGAGAAAATTTAAGAGTAGAAAGGGTTGAGTGATCCGCTCAAATATTGCAACAGAGATTTCTGAGACAATGTCCTCAAGGAGACCTCGAAGCAGAAGGTCAGCACATGTTTAAAGGAATGTCTGTGGCCAAGAGAAAGAATAGAAAATGGTTTACAGGCTTCCTCTGAATCAGAGAGGGCTCTTGCAAGATCCTCGATGATGTTCCATTCATCTTTCTCTTCTGTAAACAAAAGTAGGTGTCTTCCTAATTCCCTTTCAAAAAGACATCCTTTCAGTTCCTCACTCTGGCCATGGACATTTCCATGTGAAAATACACATAGTGCATCTTGCGGCCACTAGATACAAAGCCATGTACAGAAATGAGGCCAGGTGCAGATGGGGCGAATTGAAAAGAAGAAAGAAGAAAAGAATGACAGGGTCGAGAAGGCAACATTGATTGAGTGAAAGAATGAGAAGCCGCAGTCAGTCAGGAGGTGATTCTCACTAAGGGTAAGTGGGGTGGTGATGGCACACCATTTTGAGTATACTGAATGCTGCTGTGTGGTTCACACTCCTTTGGTTAATTTTGTGTTATGTAAATTTCACATCAACAATTACTTGTTTGAAAAAGAGAAAACAAGGCTCTGAGAAACAACTGCAACCCATACATTTTTACTATCCTCCTTCTCTGTTTGATAAATATTTGTGTGTAGCGAGCCTGCCATGGCAATTCCTGCCCTTCCCCTGGCCCAGCTTAGCTCTTACGTCTCCCCACCGAGCTGCTGTACTTCAGAGATTTACACACCTGCCCCCCTGCCTGCCCCCATGGGGTCCCCTCACCTGAGCTCCTCAGCTTGCTTGAGCTGCTCTGCAAGCTTCTCCTCCTTGAACTGTCGCTCATTCCTCAGCATAGATTTTATGAGATCTTTGCACTCTTCATATTCTGAGAAAAGACAGACACACCTGCCTCAGTGGAAGGCTGGACATGCTGCTGTGGTCATTGCCTACAGGACAGGAGCCAGGTCCATCCCAAGGACAAAACTCTCCCCAGTACCAGGGTCTAGACAGGGATTTCCACATCTTTACTCTTCAGTCTCCTGACTTTCTGGCATCTGATCCTCCAAAATTTAGAGATGAAGAAAGAGAACCTCAAGGGCACATCAAGGAAGTTGACAAGATGATTCAACCACAACGAAGTGGAGTCAGAATTCACAGTCCCTGAGGTCTGACTCTGAATGCGGGGCCACTTTCCCAAGCCTTGCAGCCTCTCCTCTAAAACACTGCACTGGGGCATGAAGTAGTGATTTCTTGTACAGTTGGGAAAGCCCCTAGGACTATGGGACTGATGGTTTCCCTTTTACTGGGAATTTCAAGGACAAGTATGCGAAAGATTTTTAAAATCTTTGATTTTTAAATCATATCTCCAGTTATGATTTTAAGAATCATATCTGAAGCATAAAGTGTGACACATAACACCATTAGGCCATGAAGGAAATATGCCCAAATGTTAATAAAGTTTGTGTTAATTTAGAAACAGCAGAATGAAGAACTAATAGATAGTGTTTACTCTGTGCCAATAAATGTTCTAGGAGATTGACAAGAAATAGCTCATGTAATTCACTGCAGCAATTTACAGAGGTAGGTATTATTGTAGTACCCTCTGAACAGGTGAGGAAACTGAGGGACAGACAAGACAAGCAACTTGGATGGAGCCCAGGAGACAGGCCCACGGTCCCTGCTCTGTACACTGCACTGCTATCTCCACACATTCTCGGGTGCGATCTTTCTTCCTCTTTAGCAACAAGACTCTGTGCCCCAGGAAGCAGGACTTCACTCTCACCAAGCTACTCTCTGCTTTTTATTCTTATTTTTATTTATTATTATTATTATTATTATTATTATTATTATTATTTTTAGCAGTCTTGCCCTGTCGCCCAGGCTGGAGTGCAATGGCAAAATCTTGGCTCACTGCAACCTCAGCCTCCTGGGTTCAAAGGATTCTCCTGCCTCAGCCTCCTGAGCAGGGGTGATTACAGTCACCTGCCACCACGCCCATCTACTTTTTGTATTTTTAGTGGAGATGGGGTTTCTCCATGTTGCCCAGGCTGGTCTCAAACTCCTGACCTCATGATCTGCCCGCCTCAGCCTCCCAAAGTGCTGGGATTACAGGAGTGAGCCACCATGCACGGCCCCTACTCCCTGCTCTTGATGCTGTCATTTATAGACAGCACAGGTTCTATTAGGGGTAGACTCCTCTTGAAGCCCCTCAGAGCAGGTACTGGCTACTATCACCAAGTTTCCCTCAGAGTCACTAGAACAGAGCTTTGCCTGTTGGGCCTCAACAGAAACTTGAACTGAATAAAAGTTCACTAGTCTCAGACATTTAGAACAACAGACTAGATGTTATTTGTCTGCAGGATCTTATATGGTACAGAGAGGATTCTTGAAAACACGATTGAGCCTCTTGGAGAAAACAGGTCATTCTGTGCCTGTGTCAGAAATCAATAAATGGCAGTTTAACTCTAGTCCCACCCCCACCTGATTGCAAACATGGAAAGTTGCTAAATACTTTGGTACCTCTGTCTTCCAACTTTGACAAAATGTTAAAATACCCATTTCTGTTTTCCTAGAAGTACGGGGAGGATGACATTATTTTTGATGGAGAGAGCATTTAGTGTCTCAGAGAGAAGACAGGACCTCGTTCATCACTTTCGTGATGGTGAGCCAATAGATCTTACTGTATTTGTTCTGCTGGTTGGCCAGGAAGCCGGCCAGTTGAGTTAGAAAACATTTCTCTTTGAGGTTTCTGAACTGCTGTTTCTTCTCTGCCAGCTGGGGGCGCAATTTCTCATTGATTTCTAGAATGTTTATCGCTGCCTTCTCGCCGGACAAAGGGCCGGCTGATACCACCATGCTGACGTTTGTGGCAGAAGAGGTGGGGCCAGGGACTGGGGAGAAGAAAGGCAAACACATGATGGGTTAAAAACTGGTGAAATCAAATAGGCTTAATCAGGACTGAGGGATGTCACTGGTAGCCTTGTTTACTTATTTGAAGATGTTTCCCTGGTTTCACTCTTGTCATCTCCAGTCTTGATCTCCTTTAAGTCAACTTGTCTTAGCTATGCAGTCACCTTGAAACCAAGACATAAACACTTCTACACTTTTCTTGCTTATACGTTTCTATAAAGCAAGGCTTGGCCCTGAGATTTTTACCCCATGAGTGGCCAATGTTTCTGTGTAGCACAAAAGATTTCGTTTTGCTTAATTTTCTTTTTTGGTTTTTTTGTTTGAGACGGAGTCTCACTCTGTCGCGCAGGCTGCAGTGCAGAGGCACAATCTCAGCTCACTGCCACCTCTGCCGCCCGGGTTCAAGTGATTCTCATCCCTCAGCCTGCCAAGCATCTGGGATTACAAGCGCCAAGTAACATGCCAGCTAATTTTTGTATTTTTAGTAGAGATGGGGTTTCGCCATCTTGGACAGGCTGGTTTTGAACTCCTGAGCTCAGGTGTTCCGCCCACCTCGGCCTCCCAAAGTGTTGGGATTAAGATGTGAGCCAGCGCCCCTGGTCAGAGACTTTTTTTTTTTGAGATGGAGTCTCGCTCTGTCTCCCAGGCTGGAGTGCAGTGGCACAATCTTGGCTCACTGCAAGCTCCGGTTCCTGGGTTCATGCCATTCTCCTGCCTCAGCCTCCTGAGTAGCTGGGACTACAGGCACCCACCACCACACCCAGCTAATTTTTTTTTTTTTTGTATTTTTAGTAAAGACGGGGTTTCACCGTGTTAGCCAGGATGGTCTCAATCTCCTGACCTCATGATCCACCCGCCTCGGCCTCCCAAAGTGCTCGGATTACAGGTGTGACCCACTGCGCCCAGCCGAGACTTATTAATAGCTAAGACAAGCCAATGAAAAGGAGAGAGAGTCTAGCCTGACAGAAGTGAATTAGAGTGGGAGGATCATCTCAGCCCATCCTCCCACCTAAGTCTCCTGAGCAGTTGGGACTATAGGCATGCAGCACCATGCCTGCCTAATTTTTTGTATTCTTTGTAAAGATGGGTTTCACCATATTGTGTAGGCTGGTCTTCAACTCCTGAACTCAAGTCATCGTCCCACTTGGGCCTTCCAAAGTGCTGTGATTATATGTGTGAGTCACAGCACCTAGCTCCATCCCAGTTTCTGACTAAAACAATAACAATATGTGTATATACAGCCTGTCCTCAGAATTGACCTTCCATAGCCTAGACAGAGGTATGAGACACAAGGAAAATAGAGGCTACCTGGGAGAATGTTTAGAGCATCCTGACATTCATCATGAGAGGATTCTCTGTCTACAACCAGAGTTGAGTTGACTTCGTCTTCCTCAAATGTGATTTTGATGTTCTTGTGAGGCTGGTTGGAGTCACAAGGGCCGTGGCTATTTGAACAAGTGATGGCACATTCCTCCAGTGAGTCCTCAGGGACTTTGCTCTCTTCAGTCTTCTGCACCTCCCTGATGAGCCAGGTGGGACAGAGATGACAGAAGATTAAACACAGAGGGATTGGACCCCATGGAGTCCTAGCTGGTTTTGACAGGCGGCATTAAGAGAGTGGTTCCAGAAAGCAAAACGGAGGTTCCCTTAAAGAGGAAACAGGCAATCCGCTTCTCTCTGCAACAGAGCATGGCTGCCATGGGAGCCAGAGAGGAAGAGAGCAGCTGGTGTTCAGTGCACTGGACAGATAGGAGCTGAGGAGGATGAAGACTCAGCTATCCCTGTATGGTACAGACATGACACTTGGCACACATAGAGAAACACGACAGCTGCCGCACCCTGTGTCTAAGCTGGGTTGAATTTCACATACTGTGGCCAAGGGGATGTGGGCTTTTGGCCCACCATAGATGCCAGAGAGGGTGTGCCTCCTAGACATTTTCATATGTTACCACCCATTACTTGCTCCTGAGTATTCAGTGTTACCTGGGGGCAGATGATTCCAGTACTTTCTCATCCTCCTCAACTTGAACATCTTCATCCTCATCTTCGTCATTTTCTATAAATACAAAATGTTCGTTCAGATATTTCCCACTTCACATTCTGCAAGCACAGTCAGCCCAACGTGCACAGAGACATGAACATCTATGTATGGTTCAGCATTGTACTGAAAACTCTCATGTTTTATCTTTCACAAAATGCCCTGGCATGGTTTCCTGCTCCATCGGGCAATGCATTTCTGATGTGGAGGGCCACCATCAAGATGTGGCCAAATACTGAAAAGACCTTTTGCTTCCCATATCACTGGAGGCTTGTGCAGCCTCTCTCTGGACTTTGGCAGCTGTCTCCCCCATCCTGCCACAGATCTGATTCCCAGGAACAGGCTTGGTGTCCTGTCACAGTTCGCATTTCAAACCTCATTCTTTCTCTTAGGAGAGGACAAACTTGTCCCACAGTCCTCTATGCGTCATGAGACTGCACAGGCCCTCCATGTGGCTTCTGCTGTGTTATTCAGGGACATTCTATCCATGGGGAGTGCTCCAGTCTGAAGCACTTCCTACCACCAAATGACCCCACATCAAGTGCCTTCTCCAACACCACATGGAGAGGGGCTTCATCTCATTTTGAAAAGCATTCGTAAGTGTTCCCATATTTGGATGCTTCAGACCCTTGCAAGAGACAATTTGTCTGCCTTTGCAGATGGAGAGAGAGAAACTCTGGAAAGATAAATCACTCACTCACTGACACTTACTAAGAACATTGCCAAAAAGACAGCCTGGGAACCTTCATTCTTAGCCCAGAGCTCTTTTCACTCCAACAAGCGCCCTCCCATCACAGCCTCCTTCCTGTCCTTTAAAACTAGATAGATGCTGCCTCTTGCTCCAAAGACCACCTTCCATCAAGGAAGGAGGGACACTTGCAATACTGTGACCTCCAAACCCATGGGTTTCCCATCTCTGTGCTTACCCAGGAAGTCCTGATCATGTCATGGCCACATAGGTGTAGTAGAAAAAAACCCCACTGATACAACTGTCATTGTGAAAGTATGGAGGTCTGGAGCCTCTCATAAGCCTGGGGTTTTGGGTCATCAGGGCCTATGGCCACCTTACCTGGGCTGAGCTTTTGGACAAGGTGCTGTGCCAGTCTACACCCCTCAGCCAGCTGTTCTTGGAGGTCCTGCCCCTGGGACTTGTCCGGCTCATCCGGAGTGAGGAGGGCCTGGAGATGCTCATTCAATGAGCGGGAGGCATCTCTCCCTTCCCGTAACTTCTCCTTTAACTGCGTCAGCTCTCGTTCCTGAGAGTGAACCAGGACTTTATATTGCCTAAGGTGAGACGGTAGAGAAAATTTAAGAGTAGAAAGGGTTGAGTGATCCGTTCAAATATTGCAACAGAGACTTCTGAGACAATGTCCTCAAGGAGACCTTGAAACAGAAGGTCAGCACACGTTGAAAGGAATGTCTGTGGCCAAGAGAAAGAATAGAAAATGGTTTACAGGCTTCCTCTGTATCAGAGAGGGCTCCTGCAAGATCCTCGATGATGTTCCATTCATCTTTCTCTTCTGTAAACAAAAGTAGGTGTCTTCCTAATTCCGTTTCAAAAAGACATCCTTTCAGTTCCTCACTCTGGCCATGGACATTTCCATGTGAAAATACACATAGTGCATCTTGCGGCCACTAGATACAAAGCCATGTACAGAAATGAGGCCAGGTGCAGATGGGGCGAATTGAAAAGATGAAAGAAGAAAAGAATGACAGGGTCGAGAAGGCAACATTGATTGAGTGAAAGAATGAGAAGCCGCAGTCAGTCAGGAGGTGATTCTCACTAAGGGTAAGTGGGGTGGTGATGGCACACCATTTTGATTATACTGAATGCTGCTGGGTGGTTCCCACTCCTTTGGTAAATTTTGTGTTATGTAAATTTCACATCAACAATTACTTGTTTGAAAAAGAGAAAACAAGGCTCTGAGAAACAACTGCAACCCATACATTTTTACTATCCTCCTTCTCTGTTTGATAAATATTTGTGTGTAGCGAGCCTGCCATGGCAATTCCTGCCCTTCCCCTGGCCCAGCTTAGCTCTTACGTCTCCCCACCGAGCTGCTGTACTTCAGAGATTTACACACCTGCCCCCCTGCCTGCCCCCATGGGGTCCCCTCACCTGAGCTCCTCAGCTTGCTTGAGCTGCTCTGCAAGCTTCTCCTCCTTGAACTGTCGCTCATTCCTCAGCATAAATTTTATGAGGTCTTTACACTCTTCATACTCTGAGAAAAGACAGACACACCTGCCTCAGTGGAAGGCTGGACATGCTGCTGTGGTCATTGCCTACAGGGCAGGAGCCAGGTCCATCCCAAGGACAAAACTCTCCCCAGTACCAGGGTCTAGACAGGGATTTCCACATCTTTACTCTTCAGTCTCCTGACTTTCTGGCATCTGATCCTCCAAAATTTAAAGACGAAGAAAGAGAAACTCAAGGGCGCATCAAGGAAGTTGACAAGATGATTCAACCACAACGAAGTGGAGTCAGAACTCACAGTCCCTGAGGTCTGACTCTGAATGCGGGGCCACTTTCCCAAGCCTTGCAGCCTCTCCTCTAAAACACTGCACTGGGGCATGAAGTAGTGATTTCTTGTACAGTCGGGAAGGCCCCTAGGACTATGGGACTGATGGTTTCCCTTTTACTGGGTATTTCAAGGACAAATATGTCAAGGACTTTAAAAATATTTCATTTTTAAATCAATATTCAGATATGGTTTTAAGAATCATATCTGAAGCATAAAGTGTGAGACATAAGACAATAAGGCCATGAAGGAAATATGCCCAAATACTTTATTAGTATGAGAGGCAGCATTAAGATTTAGATTAGTTGTGTTAATTTAGAAACAGCATAAGCTTAGTTAGTGTTAATTTAGAAACATCAGAATGAAGAATAGATAGTGTTTACACTGTGCCAATTAATGTTCAAGGAGATTGACAGGAAATACCTCATGTAATTCATTGCAGCAATTTACAGAGGTAGGTATTATTGTAGTACCCTCTGAACAGATGAGGAAACTGAGGGACAGACAAGACAAGCAACTTGGATGGAGCCCAGGAGACAGGCTGAGGGTCCCTGCTTTGCACACTGCACTGCTGCTTCCACACATTCTCGGGTGTGATCTTTCTTCCTCTTTAGGAACAAGAGCCTGTGCACCAGGAAGCAGGACTTCACTCTCACCAAGGTACTCTCTGCTTTTTATTTTTATTTTTGATTTATTTATCGTTTTGTTTGTTTGTTTTTTGACGAGTCTTGCCCTGTCACCCATGCTGGAGTTCAATAGTGCAATCTTGGCTCACTGCAACATCTGCCTGCTGGGTTCAAAGGATTCTTCTGCCTCAGCCTCCCGATTAGTGGTGATTACAGTTGCCCGCCACGATGCCCATCTACTTTTTGTATTTTTAGTGGAGATGGGGTTTCTCCATGTTGCCCAGGCTAGTCTCAAACTGCTGACCTCGTGCTCTGCCCGCCTCAGCCTCCCAAAGTGCTGAGATTATAGGAGTGAGCCACGTTGCACGGCCCCTACTCCCTGCTCTTGATGCTGTCACTTATAGATAGCACAGGTTCTATTAGGAGCAGACTCCCCTTGAAGCCCCTCAGAACAGGTACTGGGTACTATCACCAAGTTCCCCTCAGAGTCACTAGAACAGAGCTTTGCCTGTTGGGCCTCAACAGAAACTTGAACTGAATAAAAGTTCACTAGTCCTAGACATTTAGAACAACAGACTAGATGTTATTTGTCTGCAGGATCTTATATGGTACAGAGAGGATTCTTAAAAACATGATTGAGCCCCTTGGAGAAAACAGGTCATTCTGTGCCTGTGTTAGAAATCAATAACTGTGAGTTTAACTCTAGTTCCACCCCCATCTGATTGCAAACATGGAAAGTTGCTAAATATTTTGGTACCTCTGTCTTCCAACTTTAACAAAATGTTAAAATACCCATTTCTGTTTTCCTAGAAGTACAGGAAGGATGAAATTCTTTTTGATGGAGAGAGCATTTAGTGTCTCAGAGAGAAGACAGGATATCATTCATCACTTTCATGATGGTGAGCCTATAGATCTTACTGTATTTCTTCTGTCGGTTGGCCAGGAAGCCGGCCAGTTGAGTTAGAAAACATTTCTCTTTGAGGTTTCTCAACTGCTGTTTGTTCTCTGGCAGCTGGGGGCGCAATGTCTCGTTGATTTCTAGAATGTTCATCTCTGCCTTCTCACTGGACCAATGGCCGGCTGATACCACCATGCTGACGTTTGTGGCAGAAGAGGTGGAGTCAGGGACTGGGGAGAAGAAACCCAAACATATGATGGGTTAAAAACTGGTGAAATCAAATCGGTTTAATCAGGACTGAGGGATGTCAGTAACTGAAATTCTTACCTTACTGTTGTGAAAAATGTGATCACTCCCCACAGCACTTTAGGATCCTTCACCACAAAAACAAGGTTCGAGGTGCCTCAACTCAGAGCTGAAAGCACTGCCAGTAGCTCAGACTCTGATAAGAGTGAGGCAGAATGTGGCCAGCGTGCCAGGTAACCGTCTGCAGTTGCAATAACAGAATTAGAAGGTGGGGGTGTCATGGAAACTTAGGAGCCCTGCATTCCAATTGCCCAGGCTTTGCTGAAACACAGGCACCCTAGTCTCACCTGAGGGTCACCACCAATGGGGATCATTCCTTCAGCATTCACTCTCAGTATTCGTGTACCCTTGTTGACAATGCCACAGACCCGTGTCTTTCCCAATACATCTAAGCATATTCCTCACTGTTTATCTCTTGTCTGTACAACATCATCAAGGCAGAAACAGTTTCCCAACAGGTTATATTTTCTTAATGGTAGTCATGAAGTCACCCCACCTGCTCTCAGTTAAAACAGAGCTTAAGGCTTTTCCACAGGTGTAAGATATCAAACTTTTAGCCTGCCCTGATATCCTCCGGGTCTTCTGCAGTTTTTTCTGTATCCACTAGAAAGTGAATGAATAATTCATTTTTTAAAAATATTTTCTTTCCTGTCTCAGTATTCTTGCTGCTGCATCCCATTGTTAGATTGATTTCTTCTTTCTTACTGGGGCACCTTCTTGGGTTTTCATTACATTCTAGACCAGTTTGACATCCCTACGTCCAAAGCTCTTCCTCTATGTGGGTTGATGTGTTTTTTAATGTCACTGAGCACTACATTTTAAACTTGTCACTTATAGATGTCATTCTAGTGCCACAAGACCTCTTTTCAAGGTATCAAGTGATCAAATCATTTATATAGAGGTCTCCTGAAAACATGTGTGACCATCTATCTTGGGAAGTTTTGTAAACCTGATACTATTTTGTTGTTTCCATTTTGTTTTCCCATATACTGAAAAGAACAGGGCCACGAGCAGTTCTTATGGAATATGGTTTGATATATATTTTGTTGAGATGACCTAACACCATTGATTTTGGGTTGCATTCCACTAACAGAACATGGCAAGATCAAGGTTATGGTCAGGGTTGGTTGGCGATCCTCAGTGTTGCTGTGCAGTAGAAGGTGAGTTTGAGGTGAGAGGAACAAGTAGGAAACAGTGATCCTCTGAACCACCTCTTCGCTTTCTCAGCTTTCATCCCCACCTACGTTTTGTGAGCCTGGAACTTGAGAGACTGTTCTGTAGCCCAGGTCTCCTAAGATTGGCTGCTGGACTTGCCTGAGTTGAGGGTGCAGTGGGTTGACCCTGGGCTGCCCAGCATTCATGTGGAAGTGAAGGAAGGAGGACTGGTTAATCCCATTTGAAAGCATCCCTCTCTGCAGCCCGCACCATCTTCCAGTGACACTGTAAGGATACTGCTTTGAGATGTATCAAAGGCTTTAAGTCAATGTATTTTCTAGGGTCTGGGAGACCTGACATTCTGTGTCAGAATGAAAATCTGTCAAGTTTCTAAATGAAAAAACTGCAGGTTCACAAAGTGTCATGGGTTACTTGAGGTCACAAAGGGATGAGTTTTCAGCACTGCCAATAAAAGCAATCACAATAATTATTCAGTAATTATTCATAGGATCCATACAATCCAGTAAATATTCACATATTTAGTAATTATTCATTGACCAATTCGTACAAGGCATTTTGCTCAAAACTGTGTTTATATTTGGACATTGTATCTTCATCATAATCCTTAAGGTAATGCTATTATCTACAAGTAACAGATAAGAAACCTGAAGATGAGGGACAGCTAATCACGTATTTGGCCATATTTCCATTTTTTGGTTTTTGTGATGCTGGAAGAATGACCAGAATGGGTCACGGGAAGAGTATTCATTCCTGTATTATTTTCCAGGACAGAGGTGTGCCCTTCTAGAGTACTGGGACCAAAATTCAGAAGTGTCTGAAACCTTGCTTTAACAGTATGGGAAATAACCTCTATCACCTGGAATTTCCCTGGAACTTTGGAATATACAAGAGAAGTATGAGACATGGGTCTTCCCTTGGCTGTGTTTAATTCACTCTTCTATGGAATACCAATGATTCTCACTAAGACTTTTGCCTTTTTATAACCACAATGTATGTCTTATGGAGAAGATTTTACACTTTGCTCTATTTAGAAAGAATAAATATGAGCAATAGTTTTAGGTTTTATGCCCTGGACTTCATATTTTTCTGATTTCTGTTTTGAGATTAAATTCTCATGTAAATAGAAAAATACTTATTATTTCTCATCAGGCCAAGTTTGTTATCAGCTTGAGTTTTTGAAGATGAAGCACAAACTTTTGATTTTATCTTTGTCCTCATCAGCGCCACTCATTGTCTCTCAGTATGACCTGGACTTGCCCCTGCATTTACCCTCATCCTGCTGAGCCATCTCCATGCACTGCCCAATTCCATCAGTGATTCGGGGTCCTCCCAAGGCTCCCTGAAATGTGCACAGGGATCAGGACGTCAGACACATTCCAGACACAAAGGCAACCCACACTGTAGAGTGAGCAGCTGTGTTCCCACTTCCCTAATGTTCCAGTGATGTCCTCAAACTGAAGGGAACACTTTCCCTTTTTAAGGGTCTGTTCTTCATGTCTCAATGCCTCTGATCTAGTGAACACAACTGTCCTGAAACTGAAAGAACCTGTTAAATTTCGAGTTTCTAGTTAGGTGGCTAGAATAGGTTTATAAGACTTCCTTACTTACCTATGACTGCTGAAGTTTGAATTCTTAGCAGTATGATTCCTTTTCTTGTAAGCTGAGCAGCTTAGGAAAGATTGGCCATGTTGCTGTGCAAAAAGAGGTAAACTTAATTTATATTCAAAGCATGCTTGAATTTGAAACTAGGGCTTCCACTCTTCCAAAGTTGGACTGTCACTACCTCAGGCATGTGTCCCGAAGGGCTCATGTCTCTGTTGTACTCAAAGTTCAAATGGAGTCCAGCAAGCCAGATCTCCTTTACTTCTAGGTTCACTCAACAGTTTCTCCTCTGCTTTAGAGACTGCCTTGAAAATCTTCTTGTCCTGCTGTTGTGTTTTGGCTTTGGAATGATGTGATGCAGCTCAATGGGTCCTACCCCCAAGTTGATCAGAGTAAGAAACAGCTGGGAAAGTCAGTGCAAATTCAAGTTCATCGTCCTCCTTACAGGGATTCTCATTCAGAGGGCTCAGGTGGGGCCTGGAATGTGTTTGTTAACATGACTCAGATGTGCAGTCAGTTTGGGGACCCGCTGATACCATCGACCTTATAGTTTATGGGATGATTCTGTTTTGCTGATAAAGAAACTGAGGCATAGACAGTCTGTAACTTGCCCAAGTTCCCCTTGCTGTAAGTCCTGGAGCCAGATCTCAGGTGGAGCAGCCTCTTCCCCATCCCCTTCCCACATTTTCCAATTCAGCTGGGTCAATTCTTTCCAAGTACGTGTTTCTCTCCCCTATACCTCATTTCTGAAAAAAGGAGAACTGGAATTTAACTTCTTTCATCTAATACATTTCCTCACAACATGCTACCAGCATCATATTCTGGCCTCTTACTATTAAAGTGAGATGCCTTTTTTTTTTTTTTTTTTTTTTTTTGAGACAGGGTCTTGTTCTGTCACCCAGGCTGGAGTGCAGTGGTGATTATAGATCACTGCAACCTTGAACTCCTAGGCTCAAGCGATCCTCCTGCCTCAGCTTTCCAAGTAGTTGGAACTCTAGGCACACATCACCATTTCTGGCTAGTTTTTTATTTTTCATGGAGACAAGGTCTTGCTATGTTGCTCAGGCTGGTTTTGAACTTCTGGCCTCAAGCGATCCTCCCACCTAGGCCTCCAAAAGTGCTGGGATTACAGGAGTAAACCACTGAGCCTGGCCCTGAAATGCTTTTTTTTTTTTTTTTTAATGAAAATACAAGGCATGGAGATGTGGAAAGACACCTTGCTTTATTACTGTTATTATTAGTTCTATAGTATAATTCATATATCACAAAAATCACCATTTTTAAGCATATATTTCAGTGTCTTTTACCATATTCCAAAAGTTCTGCAACCATCACCACTACCTAATTCCAGTATATTTTCATAATGCCAAAAAGCATGCCTGTACCTATGGGCAGTCACTCTCCAATTCCCCACTTCTTGCAGTCTCTGACAACCACTAATCTACTTTCTCTATATATAGATGTACTTGTTCTGGGCACTTAATTCAACAAATGGTCCTGGGACAACTAAATATCCACATGTAAAAGAATCAAGTTAGACTCCCTCCTCGCACATAAAAATTAACTCAAAATGGATCAGAGACCTAAAGGTAGGTGGTAAAATTATAAATCACTTAGAAATAGTAAATCTTTGTAATGTGGGATAAGCAAAGTTTTCACAAATATGACTGAAAGCACAAGCAACAAAAGAAAAAATAAATTGTATTCCATCAAGTTAAAAACATTTGGGCTGAAAAGTATATCATCAAGAATGTGAAAAGACAGTACATAGAATGACAGAAAATATCTGCAAATCATATTATCTGATAAGAGACTTGTATTTAGGATATATTTTTTAAAAACTATTACAGTTCAATATTAAAAAGATAAACCAATTATAAAGTAGGTAAAGGATCTGAACAGACATTCTCCAAAGAAGATACATAATGACTAATAAGTATATGAAAAGATGTTGAAAATCATCAACCATCAGGGAAATGTAAATCAAAACCACAATGAGATAAACACTTCACATTACAGATGAATATAATAAAAAAGACAGACAATAACAACTGTTGATGAGGATGTGGAGAAACTGGAATTCTCATACACTGCTGGTTGGAATGTAAAATAATGTACCCACTTCAGAACAGTCTGACAGTTCCTGAAAAGGTTAAACAGCATTACCATCTGAGGCAGCAATTCTGCTCCTAGGTATATATCCAAGAAATATGAAGATAAATGTTTACCAAAAAATTATACAAGAATGTTCATAACAGAATTATTGATAATACTCAAAAAGTAGAAGCAACTCAAATGTCAATCAACTGATGATGGATAAATAAAATGATAAAATGTGGTAAATCCATATGATAAAATATTATTCAGCCATAAAAAGGCACAGAGTACTGATAAATGCTACCACATCAATGAACTTTGAAAACCTCATGCTAAGTGAAAGAAGCTGTCATAAATTACTACATGCTGCATGTTTCCATTTGTATGAAATGTCCAGAAGAGGCAAATAAAGACAGAAAGTAGACTAGTAGTTGCCTAGGGCTGGGAGGGAGTTAGGAGGAATGGAGAGTAATTGATAATGGGTAAAGGGTTTCTTCTGATGTATAAAAATATTCTAGAATTGACTGTGGTGATGGTTACTCCTATCTACTAAAATTACTGAATTGTGTACTTTTTTAAGAAGTAAATTGTATGGTATATAAATTATATCTCAAAGCTATTGTATTAAGGGAAAAAGCACTAAACACAGTGCCTTACACATATTAGCTAATATTATTATTTGTCAGTGGTATTATAGCATTTGTTAGAGATTGTCTACTCTAATCCTTTTATGTTACAGATGAGGAAGTTGAGAGCCACATGGCTGACTTGACCAAGATTAAACGGCTAGTAAGTAGGAATAAGTACTGAAACAGAAACTTTACCCAATTGCAGTCCATATGTTTTCTGGGATCCCGGAGTTCCCTTTCAACAATGTAAAATACAAACTTAGGTCAAAAGTTCCCATGTCTGAGAAGACTCAAGCCAAATCAGTTCTCCTCCAAAGTTGACAGGATTTATGCTTTAAAAATAGAGATACAGAATTCTCTTTGGAAAGATCTACCAAATTCCTGTAAGAAACAGTCTACCCAAAGTAGGGGAAAGGCTATATGAAAAGTTACAAGGCACTTCTTAAAAATATATCTTAGGTTTTTAGGGAAAGGTAAACAGACAAGTTTCCAGACCCGTGGGTGGAATGGATGTAGCAGATTCACTGAGAGGCTCACAGTGCCGTACTAAAGGGAGTCTACTGCTTAAAGCCAATTCACATCCTTAAAAGGTCAAATGGAGAGAAATTAAACTTGGGAGAAGCATTTTAAGACTGTGCTGTTACAAAACCTCGGGCCACTTAACTGATTAATCATGGCAATGAGGGCAGGGACCAGAAAAGAGTCTTTAGAACCTGTCATCCCCACACAGAAGAGCAACTTTCAGGGAAACACCCTTATCT
Organism: Homo sapiens; assembly: GCF_000001405.40. Classification (NCBI taxonomy): domain Eukaryota; kingdom Metazoa; phylum Chordata; class Mammalia; order Primates; family Hominidae; genus Homo; species Homo sapiens. Next base: position 409,707 of record NW_025791753.1, on the reverse strand, counting down.
TTCCATTTTCAGACCCCGGGAGGTGTGAGGGTGGAAAGGCTAGGTAGAGAAGAGAGCAGAAAGGAGATGAGATGACACAACCAGGATTCTCCGAAGCTGGGCTTGAAGTCCTCAAGAAAAACTCCCATGAACAAGGAAGGAAGAGTGAAGAAAAAAACAGGGATACCTGGAACTGGACAAAAGTAAAAAGATAGAAGGATACTTTTTTTCCCCCAGAAGAAGTCTGTCACAAAAGCAAACCTGCAAATATACGATCAGTATAACACCCAAGAAAATGACACATGCGGCCAGGCATGGTGGCTCATGCCTGGAATCCCAGCACTTTGAGAAGCCGAGGCAGGTGGATCACCTGAGATCAGGAGTTCGAGGCCAACCTGACCAACATGGTGAAACCCCATCTCTACTAAAAATACAAAAATTAGCTGAGCATGGTGGCAGGCACCTGTAGTCCCAGCTACTTGGAAGGCTGAGACATGAGAATAGCTTGAACCCGGGAGGTGGAGGTTGCAGTGAGCCGAGATAGCGCCATTGCACTCCAGCCTGGGAGAAAGAGCGATGCTCCGTCTCAAAAAAAAAAAAAAAAAAGAAAAGAAAAGAAAAGAAAATGACGCATGCCCCCAAGTGTGAGAATGCAAGAGGGAATCCCTGACCTATCCCTATCCAACCAGTTTTCTTGGCACACACCTTCCATTCTCTGAATGAGCCCAGATTAACTCACTGACCCCTGTGCCACGTATCGCCCACTCCATCACCCGCCCAGGCTCACTGCTTCCACCTGCGTCCCTTCATATCTCCCTACTGACCTCCACTTTTTTCTAACTTTGTCACCAAAGAAGTCACAGAAATAAATAGGAGGATTCAAAAAGAATAATTTCAGTACATTTAAAAAATTGTAGAATATAGGATTCTCATCTATGTTTATCACGTTCAATTCATTCATTTTTCAAATTTTCATTGTGGCACCATTTTATGACAGGCACTATGCTGGGGATGCTGGCGACTAGGGTAGGGAGTTAAAATGAGAGTGTCTACTTGGAAAGATGAACAGATAAATAATCACCGTGATAAGTGCTGTGCTAGAGATATGCAGATGTCAAAAGACCTTAGAAGGTCTACAATCCACTTGGAGGGTAGGGAATATAGAAGGCATTTCAGTGAAATAGGGTGCCTTTGACAAATCATTAAGAATGAGTTCTACATTAAAAAGGGGAAGAGAGGGTGATAGCTGAGGAGGCAGCATAGGCAAGAACATCCAGCATGAAAGAACAGTGAGGGACATCAGGAACATCTTTCAGGAACATCAGGTAAAACAGACTTAGGGCCCAAGTCAAAGGAGCTAAAATAATACACCCTGGAAAGTGGTATGATCATTTCTGCATCTGCTTCAGAGAAACCTGCCAAAATATGATTAGCATAATACCCAAGAGAACATCACATTCCCCATGTGTGAAAATGCAAGAGGGAATTATTTCTAATAGTTCATAAGCTCAGCAACAACAGAGTAGACACAAAAGCCACAGAATGTGCTTAGGCTTTACTTTAATGATATAGGGATATCATATATCATCAGCCTGTGGAGTACAGAGGTAGTTTACAAAGGATAAACCTTCATTGTTTGGAAAGGAAAGATCAGAGAGCTCTTTATGAAGTTTAAACAAAATCAGAGAAATAAAGAGATGTGGGAAAGAAAGAAAAAAAAGAAAGTACATTGAGGACAGTCCAATCTAACTGTGAACTCATAAGGGACAGCCAGTAAATTCAAAACAGCCTACTGTTTTTTGATTACTTGTGCTACTCTATTAAAATAGCCACAAACACAAAACTAGTCTACCTCTTTCTCTCCCCATTATTGGCCCTAACCCAAAAATAGTGGGAGTAAATGATTTAATAATTTATTTTCATGCTCCATTTTGTTCTTAAGTTAAAATTACTGTGGTTGGTGCCCCTCCTTTAGCTTCTGCTAAAGACTTTACATAATGAAAGCTCATGAAGTGTCTGGATTACTAACAGTTACTTATCCAAAAAGATGAGACATGGTTCATTGATTTGATTCAATTAGTTCTCTCTTGAAGATATTTTTCTCCTCCCTCTGTGAAGAAACATTTCTTTCTGTGTCATACAAGACGAGTCATTTTTGTAGTTTTAATTCCCTCTTGAGTCCTACAATAATACTAAAATACTCACAGTGACTACAGTATCCTTTGCAGGGAAAAAATTGTAAATTAACCATTTAAATATAGTCACTAAGTTATGTGGCATTCACTGACTCAGAGTTGAAAAAGACTCCAAAATTCTTATCCAGTATTAGAGTATACAAGGACAGAAGGAGAGGCCAAACTAAGTCTAGGACGCACAATACAAAGAAGAAAATGAGAAGACCAAAGTTACAGTCTCAATACTATGACATGATACTAAACCATACAGTCAGTCAGCCAATATATATTTGCGGGCCTAGTATATACTGGGCACTGTTTGTAGGTGTTTGGGTTACATCAGTAAACAAAAACAAAGATACTAGTTTTCATTCTGGAGAGGGTAAGAGGCAGTAGAATTTGGAAAAGACAGACAATAAACAATAGACATAATGAAGTAAATTATATAGTATAAATTATATAGTAAGAAGATAAGAGTTACAGAAAAAGAAAACAAAAAGTAGACCAGGGTTAGTAATTAAGGGGGTGGGGGACAGTTACAATTTTAAATAGGGTGGTTAGAGTAACCCTCAATTAGAAGTGCCAAGACGTGAAATGCAGTGGAAGCAACCATTTGAAAGTTGCAGAATACTTTAACAAGCTACTTTGCCTCCTGCTGACTTTGCTTCCCCATTTTTAGAACTGAAATAATAATTCTCATCAAATAAGGGTGCTATTTACATTGAGATAGTGACTATTACTATAAGTAACATTTTAGTCTCTTGACAAGCATGGGAAGCAATGGAATGAAGGGCAATGGAAGGAAGGGCACTGCATTATGAAAAGGACTTTTTAAAAGAAAACCATCTCTAGGCACTATTTCCCTTTGTGGAAATGAAGTGAATATTTTCTGAACTCCACCTGGGACATACGAACAATGAGCATGAAATCTTACAAACTGTATAAATAACATTTATTCACAGTGTCACTGCATCATCTATTGTTTTGAATTCTCTTTAAATTTCCTTCTATATATTTATCCAAAGCTGAAGTCATCTGGTTTAGATTATGGGACCCTGAAAAGCAAGAACTAGTCTATGTAACTACTTTTAAACATCTGCACAACGGCATATACACACACACACACACACACACACACACATATTGATATGTAACAAGTACTATTTGATTATAATTAGGAGTGTCTTGGTTTTCTTATAACATGAACATATATTTTTAACCCAAACAGCTTAAAGCATTTAACGAAAAGTTTTACACACCTACAAAGTGCTTTCAGGAAGCAGATGTGCAGTGCAATGTGGCGCAGTAAGATGCACAAAGCAAAGGCTTTGAAAATAAACTGCCTCGGTTTCAGGACCCAGCCTAACCACATATTAGCTGTACAACTTTGGGTGAATCACTTAACATCTCCAAACTTCAGTTACTTCATGTGGGAAGACTTGAAAAATAATACCTGGTCCCAAGATTTTTGTGTAATTGAGCTAATAAGCATGGAAGTACCTGGCACAGTTCCTGAGTCACCAAAAAAATGTTAGTTTTCTCTTCATCAAATCTCCCCATTCCCACCCCTCATGCTAATCTCCCCTCCCACACACACACACACCATCAGTGAGTAAATAAGTGTCTTGCGTTAAACTACAACCAGAGAATAAGAGACAGCCAAGATTTCCTTACTCTATTTCACTAGCCCTGGCAGCCTCTCAGCTGCGGAATCCTTGGTTATTTCCTTTCTCAAGGAGGAGATACTATTCTAGTTTGACAGATCCTTTCCTGGACACACTCTCAGAATTCCCTAAGGTTCTTATCGTGGCTAATGGATAACAATGCAGAGGCTATGGGAGTGAATAATCACTCTCTCTCAGCTAAAAACTTCCTTTATTGACTTCTCTAACTTCCCGTCAACATCTTGCTGCCAAATCAACCTCTTGTTCTAGGCAATTATTAAAAGCAATTTTCTTGAAACTGAAAAACACATTTAGCCTTCAACAATAAATCACACTAACATCAATTACTAGCCAATTAGATTACTAGAATATCAGACCCAGAGATATTTGCAGTGTTGAAATATTTTCAAAATAAAGTTGTTTACATTTCTATTTCTGTCTTTAACCCTTAAAATGCAAACAAATACAGGAGTGAAGACAGATGTATTTTAGTTACTTCTTCTACAAGATAAAGTGGATAGTAATATTATGTTAAGAAAATACTTATTTAGTATCTAGAATGATAGCATTATCTATTCTTTATTAAAAGAGAAACTAAAAGTAATATAATTAAATAGCTTGTTCTTGTGACTTAAATAATATAAAATTTTCATTTCAATTATGTGACAATGCTTTGTATAGCTGTATTCCAAATACATAGCATGGTGCCTAGAACATAGCAGGCAGTCAATACATTTTTACCAAATGAAATGAATAAATTACCAGTTGATTTTATACTGAGGACCAAACTATGACCTTTAATCCCTCCAAAATAAAACACACAATCCCATTATATGTGAACCATATCCACAATACCAGAATCTAAGATTCCCACTCTGAAAGAGTAACTAGAACAACTTCTTTTTGAGGCAATTCTGCTTACTTAGCACATTACTCCCTCCTACAGTTTTCCTTCTTTTGTTTTTGTACTAAGGATATTTGTATAAAAACAGGATCTTTGTTGCTTAGTAATTCATCTGCTTCAGCTGCTTGTATTCTGTTCCCAATCAAAATTCTTGGTTTTCAGCCTCCTCATCATTTTTATAAGGAGTTGAATGAATTGGCCAAGCTTGTTCCTTTCTCCCTCTCCATGGAACACCAGGCCCCAAGCTCCCCGACACTGCTCCTCTTTTTATTTCTATCTTTGGGTTGTGTGTGCACTCTACAACACTTGTATCAGTGAAGAGTGTAACAAAGTATTGTGCCACACATAGTCTCTCATATATCATCTATCAGCTCATCAAAAAGTGCTCACTGATTAACAGAGGATCCCCTCCTCAGTTTCAGAATTCTCTAGCTTTAAGTTAGGGGAGGGTTACCCCAAAGTCAGAGAGGGTACATGGGAGAGGGTTGTGAAGGCCAGTAGCCCAGAGAAAATCAAGGGCAGCTGGGTGCATTTAGGTGGATAAGAAAACAATGAATTACTCCATCAAAAGCAAAAGCACAAGCACATAGTAAAGTTGATCACCTACTGTTAATGTCAATTCAGTTTAAAGCACTTTATTAACCACACATACATATTTTCCAGTGTCTAATTCTCATCGTGTTCTTTTCCATTCCAGACTTGCCTGTCTCTTTCCCAGAGCTCTGTTCCTCTTATTTCTCACTGTTTCTACAAAAGGGACAATAAACAATTTTCTAGCCACTCATCATCATAAACCCTGACATGCTAAATTATCCCCTGCTCAGTTTATGGACCACAGTGGGCCCATAAAACTCCTCCCTCACTAGCAACCCACCCCACACAAAATTCTCACTTCCCTTTTTCCTTGCGCTTCCTAAAAAATGCAATTGAGCCACACCCACTACCTCCTGTGCTAGGGGTTTGTCCCCTAATCCTGGGACACTAGGGAGCTCCTTACCTGGAAGGCAGTTGCACTCAAAAGTGAAGTCACCAGTCTGCCGACAGGTGCCTCCATTGACACAAGGCGAGTGTGCACAGGGCACATACAGTCTGTCACAGTACTGGCCTGTGAAGCCCTGAAGGCACTGGCACTGGTAGGAACCAGGCAGGTTGAGGCAGGTGCCACCATGCTGGCAGTGTCCTGGAATGTCACACTCATTGACATCAGTCTCACACTTCTGCCCTGTGAAGCCTGTGAGGCATTTGCAGGAGAACTGGTTGGCCACAGTGGTACAGGTACTTCCATTTGCACAGAGATGAGACAGGCAGGCATCGGTCCATTGGCACTCCTTACCTAAAGGAAGGATAACAAAACTCAGTACTGGCCACAGAAATAGGAGATGGCCCCATCCTCAATACCTCATTGACATCAGCGAGCTCTTGCGTGGAGAAGACCTCAACTCTTTGCATTTTACAAAAGGCTAAATCAGAGCCTCCTCAAGGTAATCTGACACAGAGCCCTCTCCAGTAACTCTCCAAGGACCTCAGCAGAGACACAAGGACTCAGTGGGTGGAGCACCTGGAGGCAATTGTAGGTTAGTCACATTGAAGCCCAATCCTGCAGGACGCTATTAGCAATAGGAGTCTGGATCCATCTACTCTCTCAGAGCTCACTGTCTTTGCATATGCTGCTCCTGTTTGAATATCAACTTCTGGGCCAGGAGCAGTGGCTCACACCTGTAATTCCAGCACTTTGGGAGGCCGAGGCAGGCAGATCATGAGGTAAGGAGTTCAAGACCAGCCCGGCCAATATGGTGAAACCCTGTCTCTACTAAAAATACAAAAATTAGCTGGGCATGGTGGCGCGCACCTGTAATCCCAGCTACTTGGAAGGCTGAGGCAGAAGAATCACTTGAACCCAGGAGGCGGAGGTTGCAGTGAGCCGAGATTGTACCACTGCACTCCAGCCTGGGCGACACAGCAAGACTCTATTTCAAAAAAAAAAAAATCAACTTCCCTTCTGTTTTCCTAGTGAACTCTCCCTATCTTGGCAACTGTACTCAAAAGTTCCAACCTCTGTAAAGTCATCCTTAGTGCCCCTCACATACATACATGTGCGCAAACACAGATACACCAAGTTTGCTATTTTCTTCTATTATACCACCTGCCACACTGGCAGGGTTGGGTCTCCATGGTATGCTCTCAAATCATGTCTGTTGAATGGATAAAATATATCGATATTTTCCACAAAATATAGTTACTAAATAGACCTCTGGTGATAGAAACAAGTCAATACTACTTCTGTTTCCTCTAAATGTAACACACACATATATTCTGGGAAACATTTTATTAATTGTGGCCTTGCTATAAATATCTGTTGATGTGTTTGAAAATGATGAAGGAACTCTGGGTCCCTATATAACAAATGAAATAGAAGCCATCAGGAGGACAGAGGTCTCGAAGGTATTCCATGGACTTTCTCAAGTAGGAAAGTACCAGCACTAGCAGGAAGACTCTGACGGGTTGAAAACTAAATCATGATGGCAGGGGAAGCAAAGCAGATTCTTTGAGGCAGAAAGAGAAAGAGAAAAAAATATCCTCACAGAACTAGTAAATTTGGTATTCACATGGCTGGCTTTTTGTTGTCATTAGTCTAAGTCACTTATTATTTAAACTACAGAGATGAGAACTCCTTGAATTTTTATTACTATTATTATTATTATACTTTAAGTTCTAGGGTACACGTGCACAACATGCAGGTTTGTTACATATGTATATATGTGCCATGTTGGTGTGCTGCACCCATTAACTCGTCATTTACATTAGGTACATCTCCTAATGCTATCCCTCCCCCATCCCACCACCCCACGACAGGCCCCGGTTTGTGATGTTCCCCTTCCTGTGTCCAAGTGTTCTCATTGTTCAATTCCCACCTATGAGTGAGAACATGCGGTGTTTGGTTTTTTGTCCTTGCAATAGTTTGCTGAGAATGATGGTTTCCAGCTTCATCCATGTCCCTACAAAGGACATGAACTCATCCTTTTTTATGGCTGAATAGTATTCCATGGTGTATATGTGCCACATTTTCTTAATCCAGTCTATCATTGATGGACATTTGGGCTGGTTCCAACTCTTTGCTATTGTGAATAGTGCCGCAATAAACATACGTGTGCATGTGTCTTTATAGCAGCACGATTTATAATTCTTTGGGTATATATCCAGTAATGGGATGGCGAGAACTCCTTGAATTTGTTAATACTCCAGTTGATTGTCTAGGAAAGTATCTAAATCTCTGACCTCATAGAAAGGTAAATGGGAGACACAAGAGTTTTTCTATAAGGGAAAAGGATGCGAGATGTGACATATGAGCACAGAAAAGTGCTCTCTGCCTATCAAGGAATGTCAAATCAAAGGAGAAAACTATAACACAAATTTAGGCACAGCATATACATCTCAGGGAGCTAAGACAGAAAATGAAGGAACTGCAATTCTTCTTGTCTTTCCACTCATGTCACTAAGAGGCACTTATTTACAGTGGAGAAGAGATATAAATGCTCACTTCTAGCAAGTGTGATTTTCAGAGTGATGCCCACAACTGAAACAGAAAGATCCCTGGGCCGGAAGTGGTGGCTGATGCCTGTAATCCCAGCACTTTGGGAGGCTGAGGTGGGCAGATCACTTGTGGTTAGGAGTTTGAGACCAGCCTGGCCAACATGGTGAAACGCCATCTTTTCTAAAAATACAAAAATTAGCCGGGCTTCATAGCGCATACCTGTAATCCCAGCTACCTGGGAGGCTGAGGCACAAGAATCACTCGAACCCAAGAGGTGGAGGTTGCAGTGAGCCGAGACTGCGCCACTGTACTAAGCAACAGAGTGAGAAGAAAGAAAGACAGAAAGAGAGAGGGAAAGAGAGAGAAAGAGAAAGAAAGAAAGAAAGAAAGAAAGAAAGAAAGAAAGAAAGAAAGAAAGAAAGAAAGGGAGGGAGAAAGAAAGAAAGAATCAACCCTGAATTTGGTTTCCATATATATTATGTATAGGCACTAACTTGCTGCCTCTGCTTCTTCATCTCTGAGTGGAGATGAGCTAGTAAGCTGACTGAGGTATAGTGCTATCACAAAAACCAAAAGGATGACCTTGATCTGTGATGATTCCTAAAGTGATAGACAAAAATAGCATATGTATAAAAGATGATCAGAATCGGCCCGGTGTGGTGGCTCACACCTGTAATCCCAGCACTTTGGGAGGCCGAGGCGGGTGGATCATGAGGTCAGGCGATCCAGACCATTCTGGCTAACAAGGTGAAAGCCCATCTCTACTAAAAATACAAAAATTAGCCGGGCATGGCGGTAGGTGCCTGTAGTCCCAGCTACTCAGGAGGCTGAGGCAGAAGAATGGCGTGAACCCGGGAGGTGGAACTTGCAGTGAACCGAGATTGCGCCCTGCACTCCAGCCTGGATGACAAAGCAATACTCCATCTCAAAAAAAAAAAAAAAAAAAAAAAAGGTGATCAGAATCTTGCAGAACACACCAAGAAGAGATCCTTCTTAACAACAAGGAAGAAGTTTTAATTTGGGACCATTTCAGAGTGACATTTTAATTATGAAGAAGGCATTACTGTCATTTCCACTAGCCAGAATTGAAATATTTTAAGTGGGTATATGCCCCCCTACTTTGCCTCCTAATAGCAAAACAACTCAAAACTGACAATCAGGAAGAAATTATTCTTATAACACCAAATATTTTCAGTGACTTACATCATCAATACCATCATCATCATGATGGAGATCATGGATCATCCTAACTACCCTCTACCCCACCAACACCTTTTGATGAATGATATGGTTTGGTAGTGTCCCCACCCAAATCTCAACTTGAATTGTATCTCCCAGAATTCCCATGTGTTGTGGGAGGGACCCAGTGGGGTAACTGTATCATGGGGGCCAGTCTTTCCTGTGCTATTCTCATGATAGTGAATAAGTCTCATGAGATCTGATGGGTTCCTCAGGGGTTCTGCTTTTGCTTCTTCCTAATTTTCTCTTGCCACCACCACGAAAGAAGTGCCTTTTGCCTCCCACCATAATTCTGAGGCCTCCCCAGCCATATGGAACTGTAAGTCCAATTAAACCTCTTTTCTTCCCGGTCTCGGGGATATCTTTATCAGCAGCGTGAAAATGGACTAATACAGTAAATTGGTACCAAGAGTGGGGTTTTTGCGAGAGTGCCAGCTATCCCGAGGGAAACTTTGGAGGGAACCAGCTACTAGATGGTTCAATTAGTCTTTCGCCCCTACACCCAGGTTGGATGACCGATTTGCACATCAGGACTGCTACGGACCTCCACCAGAGTTTCCTCTGGCTTTGCCCTGCCCAGGCAGAGTTCACCACCTTTCAGGTCCTAACATTTGTGCTCATGCCCCACCTTCCCAGTGCAGAAAACAAGATGGGCCGGTGGAAAGCTGACCTGGCTACTGCCACCGCAGAGTGCCCAATTTGCCAGCAGCAGAAACCAACACTGCGCCTTTGATATGGCACTATTCCTCAGGGTGATCAGCCAGCTACTTGGTGGCAGGTTGATTATGTTGGACTTCTTCCATTGTGAAAAGGGCAGACGTTTGTCCTTACTGGAATAAACACTTACTCTGGATATGGGTTTGCCTATCCTGCATGCAATGGTTCTGCCAAGACTACCATCCGCGGACTCATGGAATGCCTTATCCACTGTCATGGTATTCCACACAGCATTGCCTCTGACCAAGGCATTCACTTTATGGCTAAAGAAGTGCAGCAGTGGGCTCAGGCTCATGGAATTCACTGGTCTTACCATGTTCCCCAACATCCTGAAGCAGAACGGTGGAATGGCCTTTTGCAGTCACAATTACAATGCCAACTAGGTGAGAATACTTTGCAGGGTTGGGGCAAAGTTCTCAAGAAGGCTGTGTATGCTCTGAATCAGCGTCCAATATGTGGTACTGCTTCTCCCATAGCCAGGATTCACAGGTCCAGGAATCACGGGGTGGAAATGGAAGTGGTACCACTCACCATCACCCCTAGTGATCCACTAGCAAAATGTTTGCTTCCTGTTCCCGCAACATTAAGTTCTGCTGGCCTAGAGGTCTTAGTTCCAGAGGGAGGAATGCTGCCACCAGAAGACACAACAACAATTCCATTAAACTGGTAGTTAAGATTGCCACCAGGACACTTTGGGTTCCTACCTTTAAGTAAACAGGCTAAGAAAGGCGTTACAGTGTTGGCTGGGACATCAAGGCTATCAAGACCCAGGCTATCAAGATGAAATCAGTCTACTACTCCAGAACGGAGGTAAGAAAGAGTATTCATGGAATACAGGAGATCCATTAGGGCGTCTCTTAGTATTACCATGCCCTGTGATTAAGGTCAATGGGCAACTACAACAGCCCAATCCAGGCGGGACTACAAATGGTCCCGCCTGGATGAATGAAGGTTTGGGCCTCTCCATCAGGAAAAAAAAAAAAACACAACCTGCTGAGGTGTTTGCTGAAGGCAAAAGGAATACAAAATGGGTAGAAGAAGGTAGTCATCAATACCACCTACTACCATGTGACCAGCTGCAGAAATGAGGACTGTAATTGTCCTCAGTATTTCCTCCTTCTTTTATTAAAAACATGTCTGTGCTTGCACACACTTGTACTAAGAAAATATCTTCATTTTATTTCCTTTCTCCTTTATCATGTGACATAAGATTTATTGACTTCACATCAGCATTTAAGTATCGTTAACTTTATGTAAGAGTGTTTCAGTTGGGGACTGGTGTGTTTCCGGATGTACGAAGAATAGTTGTACTACATCAGGTGTAATTATGACCTAATTATTGTCTTTATTTGAAGATTATGTGTGATCTCAGGAGATGTGTATGGGTTCAAGTTGACAAGGGGTAGATTTGTGGTGGTTAAAACTGAGTGTGTCAACTTGATTGAATTGAAGGATACAAAGTATTGATCTTGGGTGTGTCTGTGAAGGTGTTGCCAAAGGAGATTAACATTTGAGTCAGTGGGCTGGGGAAGGCAGACCCACCCTTAATCTGGATGGACACCATTTGATCATCTGTCAGCAAATATAAAGCAGGCAGAAAAACATGAAAAAGCGAGACTGGCCTAGCCTCCCAGCCTACATCTTTTTCCCGTGCTGGATGTTTCCTGCCCTCAAATATCGAACCCCAAGTTCTTCGGTTTTGGAACTCAGACTGGCTCTCCTTGCTCCTCAGCCTGCAGACAGCCTATTGTGGGACCTTGTGATCATGTGAATTAATACTTAACAAACTCTCCTTTATATATATATAAAGATTGCCAATATATATATATTAAGATTGCCACCAAGACACTTTGGGTTGGAATATATATACATACATATATATTCCATCAGTTCCATCCCTCTAGAGAACCCTAATACAATGAAAAATTAATATAACAGTATTCTACACTAACTGATCCAGTATAGTCTTCTGAGTACATTTTTCACTTTTTTGCTTATTGCATTTATAGAACTCTTGGTTTAGTGCTTAAAGCAGGAGAAAAAATGAAGAATGTTCCTCCTTTTCTCATCTAATTTAATAAACACTTTTGAATAAAGCTCAGACCCACCTAGAAAAACCCACAATCTATTCAGGTGAGATATGTGTAAAAAAAATTACAATAAAATGTGATACATAAAACTAATAAAACTTAGAGACCATTTGCCTAAAGGAATCATGAAAGGGTCACTAAGACACAGTTTTAAATAACATTGGACAATCACCAGTTGTAGAAAAGGGCATTCCAGGCAAAAGGGTGTGTAACTGTATGGAAGCAATAATAAGTACAACATTTTCAGGAAATAAGGAGAATTTGGTGTGACTAGGCCTAGATGCTTGTGGGGAGGCCAGGCTATAAAAAGATGTAAAGTCTAGGCTGTAGAGAGCTATGGAAGTCATGTAAAAGAGTTTGCAGTTTATTCTGCGGATGATGAAAAAATATTAGACATTGTAAGCAGGTGAGATTGTTAGAATATTTGCATTTATAATCAAAGATGTAGTAATATCATGGGTGAATGAGATGGGGAGAGAATAAAGGCAAGAAAACGTATTCAGAAACTACTTCAGAAGTCCAGGTGAGAGATAACATGGCCCTCAACTACAGGGTAGCAGAGGAAATGGGAGGAATAGACAGGTGAAAGGCAACTCAGAGGTTGGCTTGGGTGACTGAGTTGAAATGAGGTCAGAACAAGGGACAGGGAGTTTCTAGCGTGGGTATTTGGGATGTACATGGTTGCTACGTATTTCTGTCAACAAGGTGAGCTGAAAGTACCTGTAGAATATCTCCAAGGAGAACATACAAAGGATAGCTAGAAACATGAGCCTGAATGTCAGGGTTGGGTGGAGCTAAGGGAATGATGGTGAGATTCATCAGCAAGCTAATGAAGACAGTGGCAGTGGAGGCGAATACAGACAGTGAAATTCCCTAGGGAGAGCTGTGATGTGGCTCAAAAGAGGGCGCAAAACAGTGCTCCAGGGAGCACAAACATTTAATGGATAAGAACAAGGTAATGAAGAAGCAAAAGGAACAGGGTTCAGAAAACCAGAAAAGCCAGTGCCCTGAATGTCTAGGGAGGGAGATTTCTAAAAGCAAATAGTCAATAACATCAGCAACTTTTCCTCTGGTGACAGTGTACTTATTTCTTTTAGTGAAGTAAACTCTGATTCCCCATCCTGGTGTACATATTTTTTTTTTTGAGACAGGGTCTCACTCTGTCACCCAGGCTAGAGTGCAGTGGTGCGATCATAGCTCACTGCAGCCTCAAACTCCTGGGCTCAAGCAATTCTTCCACTTCAGCCTCCCAAGTAGTTAGGACTACAGGTGCACACCACCACACATGACTAATTTTGTTTTATTTTTATTCTTGTTTTTTTGTAGAGATGGGGTCTTGCTATGTTTCCCAGGCTGGTCTCAAACCTCTAGCCTCAAGTGATCCTCCTGCCTTGGCCTGCCAAAATGCTGGGATTGCAAGCGTGCGCCACCGCACCTGGCCCTGACATATATACTTTAAGCAGTCAAAGTATTTGGTCCTTTTTCTTTCTCTTTCTCTGCCCCCTGAAACTCTTAAAAGGAAGTTAGGGATAGTTGTCTGGAACATCCCAGTTCCTTATCATAATGTTAAATGTGCACCAGAGCTGGGGGACATTTAAGAGCCAGACACCATGATCTAAAAGATGCTAAATAAAGGTATCTGCTGAAGGTAGGGAAGCACTGGCTTTGGTCTCATTAGTTACCTGTAAACCCGACTTGACAGGTGCACTCATAGGTATCCCGGCTGAGCATATGGCATGTGCCGCCATTCAGGCAAGGTCGAGACACAAAGCATGGATGAGGTGTCGAGTACTGGCAGTCCTCTCCTGTAAACCCTGAGGCACACCGGCACGTGGCTTTCCCCAGCATGGCCTGGGCCACACAAGTCCCACCATTCTGGCAGCGGTTCTTCTCACAGGGGTCTCGATGTTGACAATATTCCCCCAAGAAGCCTTCTGGACATCTGTATGGAAAAGAGAAGAGTCCATGAAAACACCTGACTTCTTGTAAGTCCAAAAAATTACAGTAAAACAATACAGTCCAATCAAGAAAGCACGAGATTGTGAATCAACAGACCTACAAGTACCACCTATAAAACTGCTTCCCTTTAGAAGAAAGAGTCCTTAGAGAACTTAACCACGTACTCCCATGTCCTTTTGAGTCCTGGCAGAAAAATTCTTACACTCTTGGAGTTTACATTCTAATAGCTGAAGACGAAAACAAAATTACTAAGTAAAAGATGCACAATAGATGGAGTTAAGTGCTGTGAAAAAAAATTAAACAGGAAGGAATGGAATGGAACTGGGGATGAGGGTGTGGGGTGAGCAAAGAGAAGTATCTCAGTTTAGAATAGGAAAATCAGAGAAGACCTTCACTGACAATACTTGAGTTGAGACCTAAATAAGGTGAGAGTAATCATGCAGGTATCTTAGGGAAACACATTCATGAGAAAGGGAACAGCAAATGCAAAGGCCATAACACAGAGAGCAGCCCTAGCGTGTTTGAGAAACAGCAAGAATATCTGGAGCAGCAGAAAATAGATGAGAGCTGTAACTGGGATGTGGATCAATTGGGGCCTTTAAGCCACTGTAAAGAAAGACTTAGGGTTTTCCTCTAAATGGGATAATACTTACATATGAGGTACAACAGACTTACTCTCCTAAAGCCGGTGTACAGAACCATATATTTGCTTTATGTGAAACTAGACCTACTGTATTAATAAAGTTTGATTTCTATTTAAAATGTTTTAGAGGGCTGGACATCAGCTTAGTTCTTTACTTTTACCTTAGAAGATATACAAGTCTCTTTTAACCCACACTTTCATGAGGTCCCATTTACCTTTCCAAATTATTGTTTCACAGCTAACCTTCTATGACTGTAGCCTAATTTCAGATATTTCTCTTTCTTTTCCATCTACTTCTTACTTATCCCTCTGCAACAAAACTTTAATTCTAATTATTGCTTAGAAACTGTTTTCTAAAAACAATGACTTTCCTCTAGTCAAGTTCAGTGGTCTCATCTGAAACTTCATAAGGAAATTCTCTCTCCTATAGGGAGAATTGCTAACCACTCCATGTACCGTTTTAATCATTTTACCTTGGCTTCTATGACTCCCTCTGTCTAACTCAAAACCCAGTGAAGTCTTAGTCTGGATTGCTGATTTCTCCTTCTTCCCCATATATTATGGCCACCCTAACGTTTAAGTCTGGACTGCACTGCTCTTTCTCTCAAATGCATTTGTTACTGTTGTTCACTTGGTTTTAAACAACTTCCTTCCTGTAACTGACTCCAAAATACACTGTTCCAGTCCCATATGTTCAGTTTTCTAGAAGTCATCTCTCTATCCTAATATGTGCTGCCACTATTTGAAACTAAACATTTGTAAAAGGAGATCATCTTCCCAAGAAACTTTAATTATTCAATTTTTCTAAGGCTTCCACACACAATTTAAAGTAACTTCATCTCTTTAAGTTGTATATAATTTATTACCACATTCTGACAAGACTTGTTAACTGAATTCCTATAATACTTATCATTCGTGTTCACAGTTTCCTTTTTGATACAAATTCTGATCATCTTAAAAGCCTCAGGCCAGACATCATCTTGTTGCTGGCTTTTCCCCCATTTCCAGCCATCCTTGGAATAACAGAACCTTCAGATTCAAGAAATTTAATTTCTATCCAATTAAGTAATCATTTCTAAAATATTTCTAAAAGATGATCACCAGCCTCTGCTTGAATACAAGCATGTAGCATGGTGCCGGATAAATCTTGAGAATTTAATAAATGCTTGGAGTTATTATTGTTCTGCTCTTAAGAGTACAGACTCTGGAACCAGACCACCTGGATTTCAATCCCAACTCCACCATTTACTCAATGTGTAATCTTGGGCAAGGTACTAAACTTCCCTGTTGTAAAAGAGATGTAATAACAGTGCCTACTTCATAGGATTTTTAAATAAGGGTAAAGCACTTAGAACACTATCCAGCACATAGTAAACACTATGCATTTGTTAAGTGAAATTACTGGCTGACTACTTCAACAAAAGAACAGTCTTCAATGTGGGTGGATTCCACTGTGAGAAAGCTCTTTCTTAATTCTTCAAATTCTGCCTCCCTTCCTAGGTATATACCCGAGATAACTGAAAACATATGCCCACATAATAAAAATGTTCATAGCAGCATTATTCATAATAGCTAAAAAGTAGAAACAACCCAAATGCCTATAAGCTGATGAACAGATAAATAAAATGTGGTATATCCATAAATGAAATATGTGGCCATGAAAAGGAATGACATTCTGATACATGCTACAACATGGATGAACCTTGAAAACATGCTAAGTGAAAGAAGCCACACACAAAAGGCCACATATTATATAATTCCATTTATATGAAATGTCCAGAATATGCAAATCCGTAGAGATAGAAAGTAGATTAGTGTTGCCAGGAGCTGTAAAGAAAGGGAAATAGACAGTGACTACTAAGCAGTAGAGAATTTCTTTCAGGGTGATAAAAATGTTTCGAAATTAGATAATGGTGGTGGTCTCATAACTCTGGAAATACTAAAGTCTACTAAATTAAACACTTTAAAAGGGTAAATTTTATGATACATAAATTATGTCTTAACTTTGAAAAGAACAAACTTTGTCTCTCTACAATTTCCAGGTTATCTCTACCCTCTAGAACAAAAAAGAACAAGCCTTCTGCTTCTCTTACACGTAGCCCTTCAAGAATCTGAAGATAGTTATGTGGGCCTTTTGTTTTCTTTTTTCCAGGATTCAATGGTTTGGCGTATTCCTCAGTATAGGGTTATTTCCAGGCTTCTTCACCTTTTTAGTGGTGCTTCTATGCTTAATAGTAGTAATAATAATCAGAATGACCAAAATTTTCTGCCTCCCTTCCCAGGTATATACCCGAAGTAACTGAAAACATATTTTCTAAGTACTTAACTATGTATTGTATATTTGCTAAGCATTTGATAGCTATTGTCTCTTGTATTACTCGCTCCAGTGCTATATTATAATCTCCATTTTATATATGAGGAACTCGAAGCTTAGAAAGATTAAGATTTTACAGCTAAGCCAGGTGCGGTGGCTCACACCAGTAATCTCAGCACTTTGGGAGGCCGAGGCAGGCAGATCACCAGGTCAGGAGATCGAGACCATCCTGGCTAACACAGTCCTGTCTCTACTAAAAATATAAAAAATTAGCCAGGCGTGGTGGCAGGCGCCTGTAGTCCCAGCTACTCGGGAGGCTGAGGCAGGAGAATGGCATGAACCCAGAAGTTGGAGGTTGCAGTGAGCCAAGATCGCGCCACTGCACTCCAGCCTGGGCGACAGAGCGAGACTCCCTCTCAAAAAAAAAAAAAAAAAATTCACAGCTAGTAGATGGAAGAGGCAGGATTCAAACCCAAGTAGACTCTAGAGTGCGTGTGCTTCAACACTAGGCTATCCTGCCTCCCCATCACTGGATGACTCCAGTTCATCAAAAACCTCTTTAAAAAGTGAGGCTCAAAATGGAAAAAGGCTTAACACATGTTCTTACCAGTGCAGCACAGAGCTGAACCATGACCTCCTGATCTGGACACTATGCTTTTACTATTTCAGAGTAAGTTCTTAAACTGAGGAGGCATCGTGAGAGCGCAGTTCAAGAAAGAATAATGCTCCGACTCATACCCAATGGATATGTGTACTTTTTTAGAAGCCACAAAATACTACTATGTGCTATGGAATACACACTCAGCTAAAATATTCAGAGCCTTATTTCACATGAACTACTAGTGTACCCTATTTTTCTCATCTTATACTTGTAGCACATGTTTTTTGAACCCAATAATTGGAACTATCATTCATTCCTTTTAAATCCATCATATTGAGTCTTTACTCCAAGTTTCCTTGATTGAGACAACTTTTACATTATACTCATACAATCACAGAATTTCAGCAGTGATCTCAGAAACCAAATGGTCTGAACCCCTATAGCACTGAAAAGGACACCAAAGCTAACTGATCTACCCAAAGTTGGTTATCTGTGAATCTAGCAATTTCCCCAGTTTTACAAATATATCCCTATCTTCACCTAGACCTTGCAATGAAACAGTACTTAACTGAAAGTGTATGACTAAGTCTTGCCCCAAGACTAGCACCTATTCAATCAGCTCTAACATCCTAAATGGACCAGCATCCTATCCATACCTCTCCTCTCCCTAAGGACAGTCTGGAAATTCCTTGCTGAACCTAAGCATATGACTAAAAGAATAATCTTTCCTAAGCATAATTTTCATGTCATTCTTCTGCTCAGAAACTAGCAACAGTATTAATACCAAGCCTTTCAAATCCAAGTTCTTTACAATCTCTGATCTGCCTGTCTGTCCCATTCCAATCATCTAACCATCTTACTCTTTAGTAATCCATAACTCGAACACTCCATATTATTTCCACAATCTTGTTTACTGTCCCCTATATTAAAATCTTTTTAATTTCCAGTGAGAAACATCATGCTTCCCTTCTGGTATATCTCCAACTTAGGTTCCTTTCTTCCACCCTTTTTTCAAAAATCTGCTGTAAACCTGTCCTATAGTAAGCCTTCTACAAATCATCCCACCTGTCTCTGATCCTTCCAACAGCAGATGTAGTGCCATGTCATGCACTACATTGTCTCCACTGGTATGGTTCTTCTTTATTTAAGCCACTGTTATGTCTTTGCTGTACCTTTCTCAAACTCCCATCTAGATAGTTTTTGTGGGGAAGAGCCTGTCTTGAACCCTTGGTGTAGGTTCCCTGAATACCTGAGTACCTAAACCCCACTAAGCAGCTGGTTCCATAGCAGGCTAAATTTCATGTGATGGATAAAGTCAGTCTCTCAATCCAAATGTTCCACAAAATCCATCTCTACTCTGTGATCTGCCTGGTAGAATAACAGGCCAAATCAACCTAATAGTCATCCTGAGGTACAGAATTATCCTTCACACCCCAGGAAGCTAAGCAGCATTATGGACATGGGAAGAAAGGGGAGTAATAGGTAAGACAGTCAGAAATAACAGACCCTTGTTTCCTAAGGCAGGAGATCTTTCAACTTGCAAATCCCTGTTCAACTGTGGTATAAGGAGAAAATATACTCTGTTAGTCTTGGTGGAAAGTAAGGTTCTCTGCTTGAAAACAAGGGCTTAAATAGCTGTCTTCTTGAGATGGCTAAAGTTGAATTTGGTTAGAGAGTGAAAACATGGCTAAACACCCAACACCCCTTACATATCTATAATTCCATTAAGCTACCCAGCACACATTTTGGAAAATAGTCTACCACTTGAACTAAAGGTGTATATTCTAAAAAATAACCACAAAAATCTAACAGATGCCTTTCATCCGCAAAACTATATGAATGTTTCCCTCCTGTAGGGAGTTTATTAATTATTTTCATAACTGTCTCTTCAATGTCTCTCAGTGACTTTTACTTACTCTCTCTTCTCTAGCATTGAACTCTGAAAGAACATACTTCGCAGATGAGGTTGTGAATACAGAGAAAGGTTTGGGGAGCATTTTTCCATTTTAAACTCCATAAACTAATCTGAATACTTACCAGGTCCATAAAGATGTATTTATGACTTTTTCTTTAAAAGTCTCAGCTGGGCACAGTGGCTCACACCTGTAATCCCAGCACTGTGGGAGGCCAAGGCAAGCAGATTGCTAGAGCAGAAGTTCGAGACCTGCCTAACCCCATCTCAAAAAAAAAAAAGTGTCATTTCTGACATTGAGAGGTCCACATTTCCATTGTTACTGTTCAAACATACGCATGGGGTTGGATGTAGAAAAGCAAAGGAAGGAAGAAAACAGAGAAAAACAAGGGATTCCTCCTAATGGAACTAGAAAACATTCCATTTGAAGGATACCCCTACAGTTTCCTCTCACTTAAGCAGATGAAAACCAGACCCCAACCCTCACATCTCACTAGCAGCCTGGATTAGTTTACATGTAGCCACTTTACAGATTTCAACGAAGCTGGGATCTGAATAGCAATTCCAATCTATCTGGCAATGGCTACAGTTCAGGATCAGTCTCCCTAGTAATACAGGACAGAAAAATTTGTTCTTTCACGTTTCCTAAGTGAATAGCCACTCGTCTACAGAAAAGCTTAAAACAGTGTAGCAGCTTGTGTCAGCTCCAAGATGACTGAAGTCTGAGCAGGAAATAAGCCCCTTTTCCAAATAAAAGCCAGTGTTCTCTCCCCTTGTTTTCTCCACCGAATGTTCTGTATCAGCAGGGTGAGGCCAAATTGCATCCAGGGCTTTGCTGCAGCTCTGTCTTTAGCTTTTTTTTTTTTTTTTTTTTTTAAAACGAGGATTTGGCCATTCAAAAAAAAACAACAACAACAACAAAGCAAAATCCCACCACATACAAGAAGAAAAAGAGAGGCATGCTTTACAAAACAGCTATTTCAAAATCATGATTTTTAAAAAAACTATACAGAATGTGGAACGAAGGGGAAAAAAAAGTCTCATGTGGGTTGCGTCGGCACTGAAGCTGCTCCTCATTAAAGCTCCTCTTTACTCCCTCTGGGCTAGTTTCCAGCAGAAAATTCTTTGAACAGAACTCTGCTTTCAACCCACTTTCTTCTTGCGCTGGGCCTCTTGGCCCCCCAATCCGCAGTGGCAGCCTGCCCTAGCTGAGCTCTAGAGGGGGGAGCTGTCATTAAGGTAAATGAGGTAAGGGCAGGGGAAAAAACTAACAAAACCCAGAAACCAAATTAAGCATCGGTCAGTAAC
This sequence comes from Homo sapiens, assembly GCF_000001405.40. Taxonomy (NCBI): domain Eukaryota; kingdom Metazoa; phylum Chordata; class Mammalia; order Primates; family Hominidae; genus Homo; species Homo sapiens. The sequence goes on along the minus strand of NW_025791753.1, from coordinate 388,671 downwards.
AAAGGTCTGCAGTTTGAAAGGCTCCAAATCAGTCTGTTCTTTCCTGTGACCATAATGCCAGCTTAGTTTCCTGCCCCCCTACTCTGTCCCCCCTGTTAAAGTAGATAAAAGTAATTGCTAACAGCCAAGGCTAGCTGGAACCAGTGAAAGTTCCTATGTAACATTCAATTCCCAAGGCTCCGACTACAAACTTGTAGGTACCCCAGAGCCTATAGAATCAAGTCTAAACTTCTAGGCTGGCATTCAGGAGGCCTAACCCACCTATTGGTCTAAACTCACTGGTCTCCCTCCTTTCAGTACCTCCTGGCTGAGGTCTGATGGGCTTGTCAACTTTTTAATTCTCTCTGTGTAAAGGTAACTAACTAGGTTATGCTAATTACCAACTTTGTTTTAAAAACATGCATGAGGACTTCTAGTTAACTTCCTGGTAAAGAGGGGAAAAAAAGAGAAGAAGCTCTGTCATACTACTTCTTGCCATTCCCACTCTACTCTCAACCCCCCCTTCTCTCAAAAAAAAAAGAAAGAAAAAAAGGAAATACTATAGCTTACTCAGCAAGAAGGAAAAACAAAAAGAACTTTAAAAAAAAGTATTTGTGTATAGATTGGTGTCCAGAACTGGGACGCTTGTGGTAAAACACACTTTCTAGTGTAGTTTTTCTAGGGCCTTACTAGTTGTATGTGAAGAAACAAAGACAAGTATACAATCTCTCACTCTCACACACGTACACACACACATACACACTTTTATCACAACTAATACACAAAGACTACCAAATACTGCAGGGCAGCTCATTTTTCTACTATGTAAATTCAGCTTCCTGGACAGACCATTTCTGCTTTTCTTGTAGAAGTATTTCAGAAAATGTTAATCTTGGTTCCCACATTAGGTTGCATGCTTCCAAATTAAAAGTTTCCCACAGGAAAAGAACTTCACGAGGAATTGTGAGGCTGGGAATTATCTCTGAAACCCCACCTCACTTAGTTTACATGTGTTAGGTTTTTCACCCCCTCATCTGAATAAAGCATTAAATACACACTGATTTTAAGAAACCTAAACCAAAAAGAAGCTGAAGTGATACGGACTTTAAAGCTGTTGATTCACAGCATCATTCATCTTCACTCAGACTATGAAATCAGTAACCACTGCAATGAGAAACCATGCTTTATTTATACAAGAACTTTACAAACATCCTTATCTTCCAGTTTACAGTCTGGGCTCATTTATCAGAACTCAAAGGCTGAGCTGAGCACCTAGTCTCTTCAATCATCACTTGAAAGATTGGGAAGGGGCACACAGTGTTAAAAGACTTGTGTTGTTGCTATAACAGAAGGTGGTCTTTCCTCTGTGTTCCAGAACACAATCAGGATCTTACCATACTTCACTGCACTGGACCCTGAGAAAATATCTACTTGTGATTAAAACATGGCAAACACATTCTAGACATATGAGTTTACAAAAAACACCCTTCGATGTAATGGACAAAACTGAATGAGTTAGCTCAGTTGTTCCCAAGGTATGGGCTGTGGAGTTATTGCAAGGGATTGCAATCCTTATAAATCACTTTCTAAACTACTAAACAGTATCTTGTCCATATTTAAATATATGTATATGCTTTTATGACTAGTAAAACATAAAGATATATTAAATGATTCTTGAATTCTTAGATTTTGACAGTATACATTGTATTCAAACAACACACTGAGAAATTGTTTCATCTCAAGCTCTCTCCTTTATGCACTATACTCTTGCTAAACGCCTTTCAGCTCCTAGAAAATGCTATAGTACACTACTTCTCACTTCCAGACCTCTGTACACGCTGTTCAGTCAGCCCAAAATGCTTTTCCCCACTTTCTCATGGCTAAGCCCTAAAATTTCATTAAGTCTCAACTTAAATGTTATTTCCTGTGAAAAACAGCCTTGATACCCCCTCTGTTCTTAATAACCCTGAGCCTGTGTTACTCATTAGCCCTTATTATGATTATCTGTCAACAGACTAAAATTATTAATTCTCATACTCCCAGTGCCTAACACAATGACTGGCATATAGAAGGCATTCAACTATTCAGTGCAGAAGCAAAAGGTCAAAGTGAAGGGCTCTGTGGAATCTTTACCCCTTAAAAAGACCCTATAAATACACTTGAAGTTTGGGAACAACTGGGTTGAGCTATTTACCTAAAGGATTTTCAAAACTAATTAAGATTCCTGATATATAGACTACTTCTTAACCCCCACTCACCCCTATATCAGTCAAATTGGGCCAACTCCATGCAAAGTAGATTATTTTTTAATCACCTTCCCTCCCACCTACCAAATATGAAGTTAACCAACACACACAGAGAGGCATGTGTGCATGTGCAGACATACACACACACAGTCCTCATTCCCTCTTGCACTTTTATTAGTCTTTCATCGGTTGTTGATAAAAGACTGACTACATAAACCACCAGGGACCTGGAGCCCTGACTAAAAAAAAAAAAAATCCTACAAAGTGGTCTCAATAGCATGAACTGCTAGATTCTGTAGTGACTGCCATTGAAAATTAAAGAAGATCTCTAGAAAGAAAAGTGTTGGAGCCTTCTTTCCATTCCCCAATGTTGGTGGATGACCACCTTCAAAGTTCTGAAGTCCAAAAACTATCTAAAAGCAGAGTAATTTAAAAAGCTTACTGTTTAGTCTAAAAGGATTTTCCTAGATCAAAAACAACTGTACCTATTTGGATACCAAAAATGAAAAAGAAATAGTGCAGAATCTTTAGATTGCCTAATGGGATCTGGAGAAACAGCTCTTAGTCCCAGTCTACATTCTAATGAGTTATGTAATAAAGGCTAATTCGCTTAGCTGTATTACACCTCAGCCGCCTCACTTATAAAACAAAATGAGTGACAAAGGTGCTTTCCAAAGTCCCTTTGACCTCCTAAGTGTGATGACTCTATAATCTTGGCCTTTGAAGTCCCTTGGCAATACCACCCAAGGATGTAATGATGCTTGCTGATGTTAATGTTTGGGTGTTTGTGGTTGTATATGTCTTGACCACTGTCCCACTCCAAGCAGGGGATCCTAGGGTAAGAACTGTACTGTGTCTCTTTTTTAATATCCCTCACAGTGCCCATCACCCTCTAGGTGCACAGATAATTCAATATACACTTATGTAAATGAATTGTTCCACAACTCACACTTTCAGCTAGCCCCTCACAGATGCATAAGAAAGCAAAGAACAACCAAACAGAAGGAACAATATATTTAAACAAGATAAGGGGAATGAAAAAGAATCTTGTGTTTAAAAGGGATAGAAAGGTCTAACCATCTTCTATCCCAAACAACTGGCCAACATGAGAGCCTGTTTTCTTGAGCATAGAATGGTGGTAGGTATTTCAGCCTCTATGGAATCTGACCTGCTGATTAGTTATACAAGGCTAAAACTGACTGAAGTGTGTATGTAAGACAACGGTCTGGGAAGAGAAGCACTAAATTTAAGCTCACAGGGAATCAACCACTTAAAATGGTAAATTCAGATAGAACTTTATCCAGATTTCATTTTTATGCATCCTCTCTACAAGCATAAACGCTTATCTTACTCACTTCCCATCTCATGATGCTATCATCAATTCTTATAAAATTTAGAAAAGAATAGGTGATGTCTCCTAATTAGAGAGTTTGCTTCTGTCACAAACTGTGACAGTCAGTGTCAGCCTTTGCCTGGAAGAAAATGAGTCACTTTTTCATTAGTAATCAAGTTATGTCTATTTTTTAAGAGTGACCCAGAAATTCAAGGCCATGAGTTTCAGCAATACGAGACAGAGAATCAGACACCACAAACATTGTATACAAATAGAATTAAGACAGAAAAATTAAAGTCAAGGAGGTACAGAGTTACTTTTCAGGATGACTGAGGTTTCAGAAAGGGCAAGTTGCCCCGTAAAATATTCTCAAGATGTGTCTGGCTTACACAACGAGAACCAGTATTTCAAAATCTTAAAGTGACAGGCAGTTAAACGACTAAGGCACTACCATCGTCTAGGCAAGAGAATCTTAACCACCATCAAATGTTTTCCACACAGAATAGGCAGACCTAGTTTATTCTGGAAAATTGAGGGTTTGGATATGTACTATATAATCAGAGGAAACAAGCAGTAAAGGACCTGAGCTAATTTGGGGTAACCAAAGACTTGGCTAACAGATGCTTCCTTACTCTGGATCCCTCATATGAATCAGATCTGGCCAGCGATATGCTGGACAGAAGATATCTGAGGTTGAGATACCTGATTTCTCAACTAAGGGAATGAACTATGCAGTACATGAAAACCAACCCTCTTCTTAGTGCCTCTGTTTTCCTATCACTTCCCCTATCCCAATCCATTCTTGCTCTTGCCTTAGAGATTCTTAGATTCTGATTTTCCTCGCAAAACATGGCCACAAGCCTACCGCCTCTCTGTCTGGTAGAAGTACAAGAATCAAGAGTCAAGGCCAAAAAGGTCTGAGGGAAGGAGCATAATTGCTCCCAGCTGCCCTCTCTTCCTGTCCCCAGGTCCTCTCCTTCACCCTCACTCTAGGCATTCTACCTCCAAACGTTCAAGTTAACATGTGCTAAAGGAAGGATTTTCTAAATCACTTACCTGTCACTGTGAAACTAGATTAATCCACATACTGGTTTAGTAAAACCTCACACAAACCAGCATATACACAGAAGACAGCAATCAAGATGAAGAAAACGTTTGAAACTGTGTCATTAAGAAAATGTGATGAAGAAATTGGTAATGATTATTCCAGGAAATAACAGTCCCTTCTAGTCTCCTCAGCTCCCTTCCTCTCACCCTTCTCCTACCTATCCGTCTTCTAAGGCACCACTAATATTCAAAGATTTAGGATCTAAGCAGTGCACCAAAAGTCCTCTGATTTTACTCTTTTGTCCCACAGTACTTGTTCCTTTGTCTGAGTGTCCATAGTTATTATCTGTGCCCCTACACTGGGATATTACAAACTGTTTTATTTTACACATCTCTGTATGCTTCATCTCCCCAGCAAGACTTCAGAAGACTGCCACCATGTCTTATGCAGGAGAAACTGCATTCACTGTCAGACAGTCTCTGGGTACGTATACTTGTGAATAAGGAAGTCAGGTAACACAGGCCTCTTGGGCTTTTCTGGGTATTCACAATACCCAGTACAGTGATCAGTTATAGTAGCCTGCTCAATAAATACTAGTGTGATAAAAATTAAACTTTTGTTTGAAAAGTGAGGATTCTATAGTGCTTCAGAGTCCATCTAACTTTCAGTGTTCAGCACACAGGATTATAGACAGTGACTGCAGGAAAATGACCTGAATCTATACAGATTTAATACTCTAAATGCTACCATTCTACATAAATCCTAATCAGATTATTTTCTTATTAACACCTACCTTTCTCCTCATATTTACGTGAAGGCAAAAAACTGGATAGAATGCTCTAGTTGAATGTGTTCGCTGAATAATATCACCCATCACTTAAATAATGCCTTTCTTAGTCTTTATTTTCACTTTTCTTTCATAAAACTCTTTTCATAAAGATCAAGTAGAAGACTGTTTAGGAGAAGAGCATTTCGAGCAGAAATTAACTGCATTACTTTTTCATAGGAGAAGGCTGATGGAGTCTAAGAATTGGCAATACATTTTTGGACACAGAGGACTAAGTGCTAGTGAAGGTCACTGACAGTGAATAAATAGGATCTAGAAAATGTGCGGAAATCCAATAGAAATTTTAATTTACCTTACGTTGGGTTGTAAGGTAAAACTCAACTAAAAGAAATATGAAAACAAAATGCATAACACAGTCGCATGTGCACACATGTGTGCATACACACATATGACAGGAGGACGGAGAGACACTAAACTTCATTCCTAACTACTGTATGTTGAGAGGAGGCCTAATGAAAACCTCTATCACACCCACATATTTATGCTAGCTTAACAAATTTTAAAGTGCTTGGAAATTTTTAGATGATTACTTTTTCTCATATTCTGATATCCCCCATTCCTTTGCTATCATTCATAAGGGCAGATGTAGACAAAATTAAAGAATTTAATTAAGCCTCTCCATATCCTGAAAGAGAAATATTTCTCATTTTGCTTAGTCACAAAAAAAGGGAGAAAAAAAGAATTCCTGTGTGAAATTAATGGTGCTAATGAGACATGCCTGAATAAGAAACTTCACATAAGATTACGATTGACCTGGAGACTGTGTTGAAAGAAACCTAGCTAAATTCACATCTATTAATGCCAGACTGCAGGCCAAAATTTGTTGATTTAATTTCTTGGCAGTTACCCAAGACAGGTAAAAGGATATAGGCAGAGCCTAAGAACCAGATTCTCCTACTTCTTCACTGAACACTGAAATATATAAAGGTCCCAACTGAAAGAATAAAAATTAGTTGAAAATAGTATGGAAATTATGTTGCTATGTGTTAACAAGCTACTAACTGGCCAGGCACAGTGGTTCAGGCCTGTAATTCCAGCCCTTTGGGAGGCAGAAGTGGGAGGATCACTTGAGCCCAGGAATTCGAGACCAGCCTGAGCAACATGTGAGACCGTGTCTCTATAAAAAGTTTTAAAAATGGGAGACTGAGGCAGGAGGATGGATGGCTTGAGCCTAGGAGGTGGAGGCTGCAGTGATCCATGATTGCTCTACTGCACTCAAGCCTGGGCCACAGATGGAGATGCTAGTAACCAAGACTTCCTTTACAAAAGACCCCTTAGGGAAACATCATATTTGATAAAGGATTTTAATAGGACATAAGTATTAATAAGAATCACTTAGGAATGGTACTGTTAAAGGGTCCAGATCTCAAGTCCTAATACAAGGAAAAGCCTCACAGGACATACTCATATGCATCTGTAACTCACTATGCAAATGTAAGGTGCCATATTCAACAACTTGTGACTTTTGTGCTGGCAACAACATTTATCAAAAATCACTGAATTTAACCTGTCTCAATTTCACAACTGCATAAATCTGTCTGGACTTGCTCCTGTTCCATTAGTAAAAAGAAAGGAGAAGTTTCAAATTAGTTCTCTCTACTGAAGCACACTTTAATAGACAATATCCTCTATCCCCACCTTCACTGCCCTCTTCTTCTATTTCATCCACAGTTATTACATTGAGCTTTCATGTTAAAGGCCATTTCTCAGAAATGCAGTATTCACCAAACCTGGCCCATGTACACTCATGTAACTATATGCAGATTTAGTGTTCTAGAATGATATGAGGTACTCAGGCCTACCTAATGCTACTGTCTTTAAATTTAGAAATTACATAAATCAGTGTTTTAATCATATTCCTGATCTGAAAAGTCCCCTTTTTGTATACTTTCAAATGTTCCACACTTCCTTTTCAGAAGGTTCCATTTGAACTACCAACTTAAAACAGGTAATTCTGTCCCATTTTATTGACAGGCAAACTGAGACTCAAGGTGACAGTACATTTTCCACGAGTATATCTCAGGTTAGCTACAGAGTGATGGGATCTTGAGTGAATTATTTAACTTCTCTTAGCTTCCATATAGTCTCTCTCTCACATGAGGACTAAAGTAAATACATGTTAAACTACTTGAGAACAGACCCTAATATGCAATAATGTTAGCTAGCATTATAGACTTTAACTTGCCAAAGATCCAATTGTTAATAGGAATCAGGACTCAAACTTAAGTCTATCTGGCATAAAAAAACCTATGTCCTCGGCTGGGTGTGGTGGCTCACGCCTGTAATCCCAGCACTTTGGGAGGCCGAGGCGGGCAGATCATGAGGTCAGGAGATAGAGACCATCCTGGCTAACACAGTGAAACCCCGTCTCTACTAAAAATACAAAAAATTAGCCGGGCGTGGTGGCGGGCGCTTATAGTCCCGGCTACTTGAGAGGCTGAGGCAGGAGAATGGCATGAACCCGGGAGGCGGAGCTTGCAGTGAGCCAAGAAAGCGCCACTGCACTCCAGCCTGGGCCACAGAGCGAGACTCTGTCTCAAAAAAAAACAACAACAAAAAACTATGTCCTCTTCATGTCACCAGTCAAGGATCTTCCAGGACCCTTACTCCACTCACCAGTGCAGGCTGAACCATACTAGATCATAAGGCAAAAGAAAAAATCAGTAGTACTGATCTCCTTATTTAAAATTTTGATAATTTTCAACTTATTTTGCATTAATTTTGATTTTTTGAACAACTACATACAAACATTATTTTGATTAGTGAGTTTTTTGGCACTCTCTTAAATTTCACAAGAGAGGCCTGTGCCTTACTTGCCTCACCATGGTCCCAGCCCTGCCATTCACTGGCGGCCCCTGTACAGAAGGCCACATTATAGTCAGTTTTTTTCATACTTGGCTTTACTCTGAACCTCTCTAAGAAGCCCAAGTTAATGAACTGGTAATTATTTTATGACTTCCCAAAGAAGTGTGAAATAATATGATAACAATATTGATTAACTGCAACTACTACCACAGACTTGAGTTATCTGTTATATGTGGTACACATAAATAGCATGCAATAAATAACTCTTGAATTAATAAAACCTGAACACATTACATTTTAAGAAAAGATTACTCTATGAGAGGTATTTAATGAGCCAAAAAAACAGCATTCTTTGTTTTATGTTAAAAAGATAAATGAACTATGGAAAACTGGCCAAGCTTCTGCTATCATTTTCCAGAAAAACTATATACACAATGTTCAGCTAAATAGGCACCGTACTTGAAGGAACTAGGCTGGCAGAACCAGTTTCAGCTGAGAAGAAAGAGAAAGTAATTTAACAGTTGATATTTTTCCCTGTCTATTTCTTTGATCTGACAATGCCCCTGTGCCTCCCTGAATGCACTCACAAGAAGGTGAAGGAAAAGGGGAAATGCTGAGTCAGCCATGACTTCTGAAAACGCCTTTTTGGGGGAGAAGCACCACAACAGAACCATTGCGAATGCATCCTCCATAAAAAGCTAAGTTCTAAGGGATTATGAGTGTCTCTACTCTCTACTTACTATACAGACATTTACCAAGAAGACAAAGAAGGCAATGGCTCTAGTTTTTCTTGGATGGATTCAGGAAATCTGGACCACCAACATGACTGCCTAATCCTGGCAAGGAAAATTGTTAGCTGTTAATGTTTAATGTTTATTACAGCTAGCAGACAAGTTTTAGACAAAATGTGACACAAAGTTATATTTTATAACACTTTATATTTATAATAATTTACCTTAAAGTGTAGTTTTTAGATCAGCACTTTAGCAAAAAGTGGACATTCTCAAATGCAAGCACCCATCTACAGGAACGTATACAACTCACAGTGACTTTCTGCTGTTTTACAAACACTATGTTAGATATTTACCAAGTGGTATGTATGAAATTCTGAAAGGCCCCTTTATATTTCCAATTTTCATCATTAAAAATAATTGCAGAGTAACTTATATCAGACTAGCCCTCTTGCTCTGGACAAAATATCAAAGGCACTGGAGAATCACTGAAAGCAGGCATAAACTAGAAGGGATATAAGCCTCAGAAAAAGCGAAGCAAACTATATGAAACCCACATTTACAGTTTTGTTTTTTTTTTTTATCGTGAAGGTACACCCCAGTTCATGCAGCAGAAGAGGAAGAGTGTGCAAGCAGAAAACGGAAGTCCTGTGATACTGAGGAGTCAGAGGTATCTGGAGCTGTCACAGCAGCTAGAATATGAGGAGAAAAATTCCTGGAAAAGACAGAACCACAGAGTGGGTAGCTTCAAAGTATGCATACAACTCTGCTCAAATCCTTAAATAATTCCTGACTATGCATGAGCAAGATAAGATTCAGAAACCCAAGAGAAAGTAAGAGCTGGACGGCTGAAAAGACTGAGCAGAAGGCTCCTGGGGCTGGGAGGACAAGTTCTGCCTTAGAGGGGCTTAATGAACACCTCAGGGCTTGGTAGGCCCCTCACACTTTCCACTGAACCCCTAGAAGGGTCCCATCTTGGGAATAAGAGCCCTATCCCATGACTAAGATTTGTGTCATCGGACTAAGGGCAGAACAGAAGTAGGCCCACCCTAACGTGTCCTAAAACCTAGCATCCATAGGATCAAGATGATCTGCCAATCTTGACAAAATTCAACATTCTTTAGTGGGAGATAAACTTTAAAATCTATCACCCACAATGTCCAGTAAGTAATGTAAAACTACCATACATGTGTAAAGTAAAGGGAAGTCATACCCATGGTCCAAAGAAGGAGCAGTTGATAGAAATAGAAACACATCCATAGACAACCCAGTTGTTAAGAACCAGCAGACAAAGATTTTAAATAACTACAATAAATGTCCTTAAAATACATATTTTGTCAATTATACAAATCATAACCTAACCTACCCCCAGAATCCTAGTGAACTTGAGTTGTCCATGATCTTTAATCAAATTGGGATTTAGAATGGTTTATATTTGAAAGTCTGAAGCAAACAACAACTTGAAAGTGATTAATGACATCAAATTTAATTACATATTTACACCTCCCAGTAGGACAAGGGAAAGAATAAAATATCTTATCTCCCTGTAGTGAGAGGGCTTTATTAAGATTTGACAGTAGTTATTTAACAGCAATAATTGAGTTTTATGCAAGATTATACACGTTCTCCTAATCTGGCATCAAAATCTAATCACAGACTGATAGGGTACTTAGGCTCCTAACAGTGAGAAAAAACAGTGGAGCTGAGTACAAAACTAATCTTCAAAAGTAGTTATCTTCATCTGTCAATGTGATCTTATCAAGGATTTTTATAATTTCTATAAACAATCATTATATTTTAGCTGAATCAGTAGCATTATGCTGTCTAAACAGATAGTCAGATTCCTTCTATTTTAAAACACTTTCTACCAGTTCCCATCCCACCACTCACCACTCACCCCCACGCTGGCCCTGTAAAAGGAATTTGGCTTCAACTTTCTTTTCTTAATCCACTAAGCAATCGCATGAATAAAAAGATAATCACATGCCCTGCATGCCTGATAGAATTTTTTTAAATCTTCTAAGTGTTTTAATATTTATTTTCTATTTTGTGAAAATAATATTTACTGAACAAGCTAGATCATCTTCTTTCTCCACAGAAAAAAAGGTAAGGTTGGTGAAAATACACTGAAAGCTCTGCTAGGTACACATTATTTTTGCATAAAATTTTGCTTAAAATTCTGTGGAGGCTGGCAAAGCACTGTAGAATGATTGACATGGCTGCCTTGATATTGTTCTTGCTTTTTCTTTGTCCACTTATGTTGACCCTGCCACTCCTAAATATGCTAATATTACTTTTGCTGAGGTAGGGAATCACTCTCTTTATACAAGTTTTGTTGTTCATCTTGGTCTCCCAAAAGGATGGCCTCACCAAATTTTTTCTTACTCTCTCTCAAGGAGTTTGTTTCCCTCAAAACAGGAAAGACATCTGAGGGACATACCCAGAACTGTATCCATAAGCATTCCATCCTATCAACAATTAACAAGTAGCCAGGGACAGAATTTAGGCAGCTCCATTTTCTTTTTTTTTTTTTTTTTTTGGAAACACAGTCTCGCTCTGTCGCTCAGGCTGGAGTGCAGTGGTGCAATCTTGGCTCACTGCAAGCTCCGCCTCCTGGGTTCAGGCCATTCTCCTGCCTCAGCCTCCCGAGTAACTGGGATTACAGGTGCGTGCCACCACGCCCAGCTAATTTTTTTGCATTTTTAGTAGAGATGGGATTTCATCGTGTTAGCCAGGATGGTCTCCAACCTTGGTTGGAGAGTATGAGACTAGCAGCCCAACAGTCCAACAAAGAACTATTGGACTTCTTCCCAACAGTGACCCTTAGGTGTCCTCTCCTGGTAAGTGCTCAGAGATTAGTCTCCCCTAGAAACCTTCTTTCCCCATGTCAGACCAAAAATATATAGGCGAACACTTAGAACATATTTGAAATTCTCCATATATAAGTCACCAAGTTGAATGATCTTCAAATAGAACCAATTTGCCTCTCTGTATGGTATTACCACCCTGAATGCTATGTGAAGTAAATAAATTTTTTTTAAATTTTACTTTTAAGTTTTGGGATACATGTGCAGAATGTGCAGGTTTGTTTCATAGGTATACATGTGCCATGGTGGTTTGCTGCACCTATCAACCCGTCATCCAGGTTTTAAGCCCCACGTGCATTAGGTATTCATCCTAATGCTCTCCCCTCCCTTTCCCCCCACCCCCTGACAGGCCCCAGTGTGTGATGTTCCCCTCCCTGTGTCCATGTGTTCTCATTGTTCAGCTCCCACTTATGAGTGAGAACATGCCGTGTTTGGTTTTCTGTTCCTGTGTTAGTTTGCTGAGAATGATGGCTTCCAGCTTCATCCATGTCCCTGCAAAGGACATGAACTCATTCTTTTTTATGGCTGCATAGTATTCCATCGTGTATACATGCCACATTTTCTTTATCCAGTCTATCACCGTTGGGCATTTGGGTTGGTTCCAAGTCTTTCCTACTGTAAATAGTGCTGCAGTAAACACACATGTGCATGTGTCCTTATAGTAGAATGATTTATAATCCTTTGGGTATATACTCAGTAATGGGATTGCTGGGCCAAATGGTATTTCTGGTTCTAGATCCTTGAGGAATCGCCACACTGAAATTTTTAAAGGAGAGAACCAGTGTCTTCTTATTTAACATAAATAGATAAGAAACATGTGCATGATGGTATCTACTTAGCACCTTTTAGTTTAAGAAACACATTGCTGAACAATAACTACACCAGGCACTGTACTAGGCATTAACTATGCAAAAAATGCATAAGACTAAGACCTCACATTCTAGCAAAAGAAACACATCAACAAATGACCATAATGCAATGGGGTTAACTACCACAAGAGTTGCATAACAGAATAAAGCAAGCAACTAAGGCACCAAATGCCACAAAAAGACTAAACAAGATTTCAGTGGCCTACTCTAAGGTATTAAGTTCCCTCCCTTATTATCTCCAGTTGTATCTCCATTCTTAGAGGAGAATGCACCACATGTTTTTTTTTTCCCCCAGCTAGAAAAACTAAATGAGCAGCTCATAATAAGCTACATAAAACCTTTATTTCCAATGTTATCTTTATTCCAATCCAAACAACCTATTGTTAAGCTTTACTGTCATCACAGCTTAAAATATTTTCACTTTAGTGAAGAAAATTATTTCTGACTTGAAAAAAAAAATCTTGTTTATAACATTAAAAAACTAAATCCTGGTGTCAGAACAGATCTCACTGGAAAAAAGTTGTAATTACATTCCTGGTAAGAAATAAAAATGTGTTGGATAAACTCACTTAAAATGCTTACTAAGCAAGTACCTCCACCAAAGCAAAGAACAACTACTCCTCACAAAAATGAAGGAAAAGAAGAGAAATTTCATATTACCAAATTTTATTTCTCCAGCATCTTCCCTGAAATAAAAAGAATGGATACATATTCCTCTTAAAAATTTTCAATTGAGGCAGAAGAAAAAAAATTATTTGCAGGAAACCTAGAAAAGCTATTATGAAATTATCTCACAGCCTTCCTCAAACAAACAAAACGTCTTGGCTAGAGTAGATGGTTGGAGAAAAAGGAAAAAAAAAATGCTCTTAAGCCAAGAACTAGCCTACATTTTCCTTCATCCTTACTCTTTTATCCCCATATAATAATACACACCCAAAGCCCCTGCTCCCCCTCAATCTACACACATGCACACATCTTCCTCTCTCACTGTCTCACTTTCAGAATTAGATTTTTTACACTAGAAAAAAATATGAATATAATATTCACATATACTGGGCCGAATATTAAAGTTGATATCTATTTGGTTTTACTTAAAAACAAGATAATAGGTAACATGTTAAGGGGAGACTCTAAGAGTATGCCTTAATCTGAAAAACACAAGGGAATCTAATATATATTTTTTTATATATTTTTTTTATTTCTTTTTGAGACGGAGTCTTGCTCTGTCACCCAGGCTAGAGTGCAATGATGTGGTCTCAGCTCACTGCAACCTCCGCCTCCTGGGTTCAAGTCACTCTCCTGCCTCAGCCTCCCGAGTAGCTGGGACTCCAGTCATGCGCCACCACACCTGGCTAATTTTTGTATTTTTAGTAGAGATAGGGTTTCACTATGTTGGCCAGGCTGATCTTGAACTCCTGACCTCGTGATTCGCCCAACTCAGCCTCCTGAAGTGCTGGGATTACCAGCATGAGCCACCATGCCTGGTCTACCCCATATACATTAACTAGCCACTCACTGAAAAGTCTTTTTCATAGTGAGAAAGATAACAGTAAGATAGTAAGAAGTTCTTATTAGCCAATTATCTGGCATCCACATCCTTCCATCCTCACCCCCAACCAAAATCTGTACCAGGAAAGCTCAAGAACCAGTAACATTCCACAGAAGCATTAAAAATAGAGGAGTAGAATCAAATCTTGTCCAGTGTTCTATCGCAAAAAGAAAATATATGAAGAGAAAAACTTACTTGCAGTATCCTGTGCCACTGTGGTAGGTAACACACATTCCTTTATTTACACAGGGTTCATAGCCATCTCGACACTGCAATGCTAAAAATAAAAACAAATGCACATTAGAAGTAAGTCACTAATCATAACCCTCAGACACCAAAGAAGTGTAATCCAATCCAGATCAGCATTCATTCCCACCTAATCTGGGTTTCTTTTTAGAGTTTTAATCAGTTTTTTATGTTCTGGCTTCTAGCACAGAAGCCCATCCCAAAACTATCTTCCAACAATAACCACATTTGTGGTCTTGAATGATGCTCTTATTTCTCTGTGTTTTAGTATCTCCAGCTGTTACATCTCCATCTCCCAATTAAAAATTAAAGCCATACCATCTATGGCATGACACATCATCTTGGGATTTAGATACTTCAGATGAGTATTATAAGGATTCATCAATGAGTGTTTAGGAAAATGCTAGATAAATAATAGATCACCATTATACTGATGAATTACTTAGCCTTCAGGTGAAGTTTTAAAACAGACCGCTTCAAGAAGTAATCAGAAACAGCAATAACAGTAATTCAACAAACTAAAATTGAGAGCCTAGTATGCACCAGGCACAAAATTAGGATCCAGAAAAAAGGAGAAATGGAATACATAAATAACCGAATAAACATAATCTCTAGCTTTAAGGGGCCCATAAAAAGATGGGGAGTAGATCATGAATAGAGACTGCAGAGAGAGTATCAAAAGAAATAAAAGGAGAAGGCAATTTTATACATACAGATAAAACAAAAATTCTCAAACTGTTGATTCCCCCATTCCCTTTAAGAGACAATAAAAAGGCACTTTACCATCTGAGGCCCTCCCAAAAACAGACTTTTCAGAGAAAAGAACAAAAACAACAGCAATAGTAGACATTTTCATTGATTTCAGCCAAGAATGGAAGAAGTCTACTCGAAATCTGCCAATCACTTGCTGGATAATTACAATATCTTGATTGTTTAGCTTTTAGAGTTGAAATTTTCATCACCAAAATACATATCAAGAACCCTAACAACTGGAAAGGTAAGACAGAAAGAAACCTAGTCAAACAATAAATATCAAATTGAAGCTCATGAACTCTTTCTTGGAAGTTATTAAGATGTCCATCTCTTATGATAGTTAATGTATAAATACCTGAAAGCAAAACTGAGAAGTTCCCCCCTCCAAGTTTCCTCTAACCACACCACTCTATGCATAAATTGTGCAAGATCAGAGAGACGCTAGGCCTGGCCATCCCTGGCCACGAAACCAGTAGCCCAGGTGCAAGCTGGATGTCAGAACAACTCCTCCAACAACAATTACTGCATAAAAGCCCAGTATTGTATCCAGTAGTAGAATCATTTGAGAACATGTTTACAGAAAATGCATCCCATCCTTGAAATAATATTTTTAAATGGTAATAGTAATAATAATAATAGGCTAACACATAGAACTTACTAAATACCAGGCACTATCCTAAGTACTTTACATAAATTAGCTAACTAATTCAATCTTCACAACAACCCTTAGAAGTAAATTTCATTATACCCACTCTCAGGTGAGAAAACAGGGAGGATAAGTGGCCTGCCTACTGCCATGCCAGTGAGTTAGAAAGCCAGAATTTGAATCCAGAGACTCTGCCCTTAACCACCAAGATACACTGCTTCCCATTACCTGAAATTTCTCAGGATTGGCAGCGTGGATATTATTATACCCATTTACCAATAGTAGAGGCCAGAGAGAATAAGTGGCCTCTTTATGGGGCATTGCGCCACTAGCTGGTGGCAGTGCTGGGCCTAGGACCCAGGTCTCAGTAAAAGTCCAACCCATCTCTATGACAGCTGTTGGGATCACACAAAGAGTCACCAGGCTGCAGGCCCAAACAGGCAAATTCAGGAAGAGGGTCATCTTGTTGTCCATATCCCACTTCCCTGTAAGGCTCAAATGCTCCCTCTTCCCACACTGATAAGCCCAATGCAACAACTATAATTAAAACAGTTAATGTCAGGTTATTTCCTCCATACCAAAGTTCTCAAACTGATTTTTTCATTCTCTTTAGACACTTTTATTAGTTTCAGTGAGAACTTCCGGGGTTTTTTCTATTTACTTTTTTTCTTTAAATAAAATAATAAATAAATAAAACCCTCACAGTAGGAAAGGAATGTCCTGTAGGCACAGAAAAAGCTGTAGCTCTGTCCCCCTGCAGGAATCCTGGTGCAGTGGAGGGACTCAGGAGACCTGAAATCCTGTCTGTACCCCTAACTGCAAGCAAAGCACAACTTCATGGGGGCTCAATTTCCCTACCTGTACCAAGCTGAGAGCGAACTAAATGTCCCTAAAGGTTCCCTGTGATCCACCAGCAACAGCTCCCTCCTTATAAGTACATGAATGGCATGCCCAGTGCCTGAAGAAACCTGGAGTACATAATGACCCAGCCACCCATGACTCAGAATGCCATGGGTGCAAAAATCACGGCCTGTTCCTATTAAGTGTCCTGACAAATCATTACAGTGACAGGTTCAGAGAAATACAAGCAACCCAAAGTCAATATGTAGCAATCAATCTAGCAAATAACTTTACAGCCTAGCCCTAGTGAACCAATCAAACTCAGTGACTGAAAAGAAGGTGGGCTTACCAGGCTAATAATTAATGCCACTTGGCTGATGTGTGGGATCATGCTACCTTGAACCTTTAGCATTTACTGAGCCATGGTTCTCAAACTTTAGTAAGCATTGGAATCACTTGGAGGGCTTTTTAAAAAAGAGTGTTAGACTCGACCCCCACAATTTCTGACTAAGTCCGCAGGGAGCCTGGGAATCTGCATTCCTAACAAATTCCCAGGTGATGTTGATACCACAGGTCTGAGGAACCACACACTGACTATGACTATATGAACGCTTGAGTGTCCACTTTTAAAAATACTCAAAAGCTATATAATATAGAGGTCTTAGATGATTTAGATGATAACATATTGTCTGAATAAACAGGATGTGGAGAAATGGAACCCTTCTACTCTGTTAATGGGAATGTAAATTAGTACAACCATTGTGAAAAACAGTGCAGACGTTCCTCAAAAAACTGAAAATAGAATCACCACATGATCTGGTAATCCCACTGCTGCGTATTTACCCCAAATATTTTAAATCAGTTTATTGAAAAGATGTCTGTACACCCATACCAAGTTATGGAAGTGTCCATCAACAGATGAATGGATAAATAAAAGGTGGTAGATAGGCTGGGCACAGTGGCTCACGCCTATAATCCCAGCACTTTGGGCGGCTGAGGCGGGTGGATCACGAGGTCAGGAGTTCAAGACCAGCCTGGCCAAGATGATGAAACCCCATCTCTACTAAAAGTACAAAAATTACAGCACGCCAGTAATCGCAGCTACTCAGGAGGCTGAGGCAGGAGAATCACTTGAACCTGGGGGGCGGAGGTTGCAGTGAGCCGAGATTGCTCCACTGTACTCCAGCCTGAGTGACAGAGAGAGACTCCATCTCAAAAAAAAAAAAAAAAAAAAAAAAAGCTGTGGTAGATATATACAATGGAATACTATTCAACCTTTAGATATAAATTCTGTCATTTGAGACAACATGGATAGAATTGGAGAACATTATGCTAAGTGAAATAAGGCACAGGAAGACAAATACAGCATGTTCTCACTTATACGTAGAATTGAAAACCATCAAAATCATAGAAGCAGAGAGGAAAATGGTGGTTACGGAAGCTGTGGGCCTGATGATCAATGGGTACAAAAAGCTACAGTTACACAAGAAGAATTTTTTTGTATATGTTTGAGATATATTGCATAGAGTGGTGAATATAGTTAATAATAGGGTATTGTACATTTCAAAATTGCTAAGAGAGTAAATTTCAAAAAATGTTAAATATTTGAGATGAAGGATACACTACCTTTTAATTGTTCTACATTGTATTAGCAAATTATAACATCACTTTGTACCCTATAAATGTATACAACTATAAATTGACAATTCTAATTTTTAAAAAAAGAAAAATAATCTTGAGACTTGTGGCTTTACTCAGGAGCAAAAATGAATACTATAATTATCTTCCACACAAAGAGAAATTAAAACTTTGATAACCTGAAGCCATGAAAGTGAGACCGGGACAGACCTCATTTCAAAATTCAATTTACTTTTTTCCAATGTAAAACACTTAAATTTAACAATAAAATTGAAGGCAGCTTCATGCTTATAAAGTAAAAAAAGAAACATTAATCATACCATAGAGAATTGATGTTTAAACTGATGCTTTAATAGACTCCAAGAAACTAGTCACTCACAAAGAGTCACATTTAACCCCAATTTTCATGTCAATAAATACTTGCTGGCTGAAATAAATCTTATTTACTGTGTGTGTCTCTGCTGTTTGTGCAGGCCCTCCTCTACTCCACCAAAAAAAAAAAAAAAAAAAAAAAGCAAAAAGAAGTAGTAGATTTCAATCTCATCACTCCATCATTTGGCAATATAATACAAAAATCTAGAAGCCAATTTCCAATTTTCATACACTTTCAGTGCAGTGCATTTGGGAACTAGCTATCTAATATTCAGAACATATTTAGAAAGCATCTACTATCGGCAGGCACAAGCCCTGATGTCAGGGATACCGTAGTATACAGAATAAACTCCCTGTCCTCAGGAACCTTATTTCTATAAGAGAAAGGTGGCTAAAAAATTAATAAAATAATTTAGGACAGTAATAAGCGATAAGTTCCATTGGAAACAAAACCCAGTAATGTATAAAAAGCAATCATGAAGGCTGGGGGTGCAGGAGTGTACCTCAGATAGTGTCTAGGAAAGGCCTCCCTGAGGAGGTATGCTTTGAGCTACAATGTAAATGAACAAGTGTCATGAAGATATGAGGGAAGAGCACCCCAGGCAGAGGAAACAACAAGTGTAAAAGCCTTGAAGTGGGAATTAGACTGGTATTCCAGGTTCATATGGCTAGAGGTTACTAAGCAAGGACAGAGGCCAGGGAGGCAGGCTGGGGTTAGATCACAAGAGCCCATGATAAGAATCACAGCTCTAAGTAGGAGAGTAAACTACTCAGCTGTTTTAAATAAGAAAAATGACACAGATTTATGTTTGAGAAAAGTCAAGATTATGAAATGGTCCAGTGAGTAAAAAGGTTTTTCTTTTCTTTCTTATATAAGCTTATTCAAGTCATCCCTTTTTAGACTAGACTGAAGACATCCATTTTCCCAGCTCCCCAAAATGGCAATGATTTTATTCTAACCGCATCTAACCTTCCAGAAGCACTACTTGTAACATGTTGCCCCACTACTTTCTAACCTACAAGGGCTGTCAGTTCTTACTTAGTTCTCAGAACTTAGCCTCAGTTTGGCTCTCTTAAGAACCAGTTGGGAGGTCTGTGCAGTACCTTCACACAGTACCAAGTTTGACACTTTTTCTTCCAAGGACAAGCCATTTCTTACTTTAACCAGTCTAGGCTCCCATGCTGGCCTTCCAGATCAGAGCTTACCTTACCTGCCCAGTATTACTCCCCACCACTTCCACTGCATTCTCTGCCCAGTTTATGCCCTCTTTCCTGAACAGATCGTCATTGAACTCAGTTCCATTCCTCCATGCATGTCTGTGCTTCCACTGATTTCTGCCTTCCTCATTACTATCTAAATTCTACCCATTCCTTCAAGGCCCAGTTCACCTCTTGCCTCACCCAGAAAGCTTCCCCTGGAGGGTTCTGGTCCTCACAGGGCCACCACCCCCTATCCTTGTAACACTCATGACTCTCAATTCAGCACTACATGGTCTTCTAGCTCTCTGCTTTTTCACTTTTAAGTTCCTGGGATATGGAAAACATTTCGTCTTTTCTGAGTATTTGAAGCAATGCAGTTAAGCAGTTGAAAGCACGGATGCAGAAATCAGACAAATCTGGGTTTGAATACTAGCTCCACCATTGACTATCTCTGTATCTTCTTTGTGCTTGATATAGTTTGGCTATTTTGTCCCTTCCAAATCTCACGTTGAAACGTAATCCCCAATGTTGAAGGTGGGGCCTACTGGGAGGTGTTCAGGTTATGGGGGCAGATCTCTCATGAATAGCTTGGTGCCCACCCACAGTAATGAGTGAATTCTCGCTACCATGTGAGCTGGTTGTTTGAAAGAGACTGACATCTCTCTTGCTCCCTCCTCTCTTGCCATGTTACATACCTGCTCCCTCTTCACCTTCAGCCATGAAAGTTTTTTGGGCCCTCACCAGAAGCAGATGTTGGCTCTAAACTTCTTGTACAATCTGCAAAGCTATTAGCCAAATAAACCTTTTTTCTTTATAAATTATTCAGCCTCAGGTATTCCTTTAGAGCAATGCAAAACAGACTAACATACTTCTTTTAAAAAACTATAGCACTGAAGGCATAAGGAGAAGTGATCCACTAAAGGTAAAATAAACAATATATGTGAGCAAAAACTCAATTTTAATACAGTTCCACTAATATTTGTCGAGAAACTACTGTCAGCATTGTCCCCTACTAGGCACTGCATGAAAATTAAGCACAAATAAAACAAACAATCTCTGTCCTCATGGTCCTTACAATCTAATGAGAAGTTGGGAGTAGGGGCAGAGAGAATGTGACCTACCCAAATGACTCTAAGATAAATACAAACAAAATAAAAATTGCCAATATATACCCTTGGCATACCCTCTTAATACCAATCTTGGAATCACTCCAAAAAGAACTTTTAAGAAATACAATATGAACCCTTGATGTTTAGCACTAACTGTAACTCAATCCAGACAAGGCTCTTTTATTTATTCAGGTTTATCAGCCCCAATTGTACATAAAAACTGCAAACAACAGAATAAGCTGCCATTGATTTTAACCAGTTCCAGCGCCTCAGAAATTTATTCATTTAAGGATAAGGCTAAGGTATCCAGACTTGATGGAATCTTCCTTAAAATTTCCTCTAGGCATTTACCTAAGTTTTCCAATGCTTTTCAGTATCATACCAGCTACATATCACTGGCTTAAAAGCCTCCCTTTGTTTTAGGAATCTCTAACATGAGTAATTAAGTCTGTACTTCAGCCAGTGTAATCTGAGAAGCCTTCAATGTGTTTTACTTGTTGCATTAACATGTAATCGTTTTAAACTGGCATTACTTGTTGCTTTGTAGCTTCTTCAAATAAGCCTCTGTCGTCTATCTCACATGATTTTTTTCATATCCTTCTCCCTATCTGCAGTGTGGTATCTGTGCTTAGACCCACTGCTCAATCGGAAGGTATTTTAACGTCTTGACTGTCTGAGGCTCCTAAAATACATGAAGAGGAGTTATACAGGCTCTTTTAACTTTTTCTTCAACGTTTATGCAAATTTCAAGTAGCAATATTTGAGAGATGAAGTCTGAGTTTACGCCCTAGGATCTTGGCTGTGGTTGGCTGCTGTTGATTCTGGCACATGGCCTCTGGAAGAGGCTCAGTAAAATGAACAAAGCAAAGTTTTCTAAAATGACTGCCTGCATTATTACCAAAAATAGGAGAATTGAGGGCAGACAAGGAGACATCAGGGATTTGCAATAATTCTCATAGCGCCCTGCAATTTCAAACAAAACTTTCTCTAAATTTTGTGTTCCATTTTTTGGGATCAAGCCATGAAAAAAAAATCCAAACAAACAGAAGAAGTGCGGAAGCTTCAAATCCCAAGTGGTACATTTAAATAAAAACGAAGTGGAGAAACATCTGTCTTCCTCCTTGAAATTTGTCTTGATTGAAAGGAAAAAAAAAAAAAAAAAAAAAAGCAATAAGAGATAAATCGATTTTGTTTTCCTAATAGTGTTCCAAGGATTTATGTGCTCTTTACAGATATTATCATATAGAAAGTGTGTTTTCTACCTAAGAGATGCTAGTATCAGATCCAGATATTAAGAACTGGGCTATAGGGTCATAGCAAATTATTACTGCTTTTCAAAAACTGAAAATATACCTTAAGAAAATATAATCAACGATAACAACTTATAAATGAATATTTTTTGTATTACTAATAGACTTTTCATACTATAAAAAAATCATTCCAGTTAGCTGATAAATCTAGAATAATTTTTGGTTTTAAAAATTCCAATTTTGTTCTATTTTATAATATTGAACTTATTGCAAAAAAAAATCATCAGTGTTTGCTGTGCTATATTGAAATCTACTATATACTGTGTAGTTTTTCCTTTTATTTTTCTCTTATTAAAGACTTCAGAAAAAAATTCAATTTATGCATGGGTTAAATTTCAATACCTGGATCTTGGAGATGAGACTAATGCATTCAGCTCTTCTACATGAAATATAAGGTTTGAAAAATCCACAAATACTTACAAATTAGGATGTAGCCAATTTGCTAATAATGATCACCTCTATACCCATGTACATTCTTTTACCTGAAAAATATTTTACCTCCTTTTCCTTTTTCTCTATCTTGCTAAATTCCTACTATATTTCAAATCACAGATAAAGCATTATTTTCCTGAAGAAGCTCTCAGAGACCCACTGATACAGATGTTCCTCTTCTGTGCTCCCATTTTATCCTAAGTAGATGTATTATAAGTGCTGGCTCACTCATCTCTCTCTCTCCCACTTCTAGGCAAATTCCATAGAGGCAGTAACCACAATTGGCTCCTCTTTGTACACCTGGGACCTAAGAAGATGCCTGGACCACAGCAGGTACTCAATACTCAATAAGATATTCAATAAACTAAATATCTATAATTAAGACAAAACCTATGAATAAACCCAACCTTCAGCTTGCATGTTTATGTGTGGAATTTCACTTTGTGTAACAAATTAGAAAAGTAAAATAAGAAAGAACAAAATGCTGCAAATTTCCAGGCCTTTAACAAGGATGAAAAGTTGAGAAAGTAGAATTGTACTTTTCTAATCTTTGCAAAACTGAAACAGTTTTGAAAGTTCCTTTCTTACCATTTGTTTGAAGGAAGATACACTCTCCACTCTTAGCCTCCTATAAATCTTAAGCCATGTGTATTATGGTAAAAACTAGCTGAAATAGGTTGAATGGAAGCCAAAATAATTTACATCTAAATGAAAAACATAGAAAACAGAGTAATAAAAAAATTCCAACTGAATGGGAAAATTCATTGTATAGTATTATCTTCCCCATGAGTAGGTTCACTAATACACATCGGCAGAACAATAAGCACCAACGAGATCCAAATGACACTGACCAACATGATCACAGTTTACATGTCCAAAAGGTTCAGGATCTCAGTGTAATAAAATCCAACAGAGAGGAAGAAGCTGTATCATATCTAGAAATTTAATTATTCTCTACAAAAAGTGCTATATATTTGTGTGCTGCTTAGTGGTCAAAGAAAGTGAATATGAAGTGTTATTCCATGTCTTGTCTTACATCTTGTATTATCTGTTCTGTTCCACTATCTGTATTTGTACGATTATCAAGACAAATTTTGCCTGTCACCAATTTCCTGTGCTTTTAGTAAACTCCCTTTTTAAAGCTTTTTTTTTTTTTGAGATGGAGTCTCGCTCTGTCGCCCAGGCTGGAGTGCAGTGGCGCAATCTCAGCTCACTGCAAGCTCCTCCTCCTGGGTTCACGCCATTCTCCTGCCTCAGCCTCCCGAGTAGCTGGGACTATAGGTGCCCGCCACCACATCCGGCTAATTTTTTTTGTATTTTTAGTAGAGACAGGGTTTCACCGTGTTAGCCAGGATGGTCTGGATCTCCTGACCTCATGATGCTGGGATTACAGGCGTGAGCCACCGCGCCCGGCCTTAAAGCTTTCTAAAGATTATTTTGTTAAGTACAGCTTAGTTTTTTTAAGTCCTTAATTTTAAGTACATGCTTTTAAGTACACTTGCTGGAAAAAAATTTATAAATATATATAATCTTCTTGCTATACACCCAAAAGAAACAACATATTCTTTTAGCTTAAATTGCTCAGGACACTTTTTAAATGGAGTACACAATTTCTCATGTTTGTTAATTTAGAGGTAGACACCCAAACAGAATGAATAACAAAATTATGTTAAAAATGAAAATGGAAAAACCTAAGATTGCTACATATTATTATATAAAATCATGGATACTTCCTAAAACAAAACAGGGAAAATCCAAAGAACAACCTCAGATTTCCCTACATGCATCCTTCCTCATAGCCTTTTTAAAACATCCTTGGGTGGTAGCAATGAAGGCTACTCACAAGGATGGGGACAGAGGTCATCAGGGATACCATAATCAATGTACTGTGCAAAAATAGTGCAGAGGAGATTGGTTAGTCCTACATAAAGTCCAACTACATGTATGGCTAACTATTCTCAAGTCAGGGTTCGCAGAAGCTAAGGTCCTAACATTTGGATTATTTTTATATTATTATCTGGATCAAATAATATGCCTTCAGCCAAAATCAAACTCTGTTCACCTGTGAATAGTATTCCTGTACCCAAATTCCAGTACACATCACTGAGAATTGTCTAAACCCAAGTGCCTCAAAAGGTCCTAAACCCTTGACTCATAGCCAGGATATTTCTTTTATTTTATTATTATACTTTAAGTTTTAGGGTACATGTGCACAACGTGCAGGTTTGTTACATATGTATACATGTGCCATGTTGGTGTGCTGCACCCATTAACTCGTCATTTAACATTAGGTTCTAATAAGCTCAGAAACTAGCACTGTGAGGGAAATATCTAAATATGGAGATTATAAATGCCTATCATTGCCATTTCCAGAGAACACACCTGAGGCCAAAAACCTTGGAACAGAGGAAAGCAGATAATAGAAAAATATCAAATCTTTATTAAATACCAAAGGGAGAAGAAAACATAAAATATAGCCCTAAACGGACAGGCGCGGTGGCTCATGTCTTTAATCCCAGCACTTTGGGAGGCCGAGGTGGGCGGATCACGAGGTCAGGAGATCGAGACCATCCTGGCTAACACGGTGAAACCACATCTCTACTAAAAGTACAAAAAAAAAATTAGCTGGGCATGGTGGCGGGTGCCTGTAGTCCCAGCTACTAGGGAGTCTGAGGCAGGAGAATGGCATGAACCCGGGAGGCGGAGCTTGCAATGAGCCAAGATTGTGCCACTGCACTCCAGCCTGGGCGACAGAGCAAGACTCTGCCTGAAAAAAAAAAAAAGAAAAAAAAAAAAAAAAAAAATATATATATATATATATATATATATATATATATATTCCTGAACTTCAATTTTTATTTATTTTATTCTCCCTTGCTTTGTTTCTTCAGACATACAACTATGTCCCACATCAACACAACTTGGGTCTCCTGGTCAACAGAAAAAAATAATAATGTGTACTTAATGATATTTGATGAGGAGCTGATAATCTCAATGTCCAAATCAGTTCCTCTTAAAAACGCCAGTCCTCCAACTCCATCAGCCTTTTGATTACTCATATTCTTTCTTTATTGTAAATGCAAGCAAGAATTTATCTTCAAGACTACTCAGATTTCTGCAGAGTTGTAGCAGTCATTTTAATAAAAAAGCAGCTCAACACACTAACAGTCACAATTTGGTTTGCAAGTGCTCACAATCATTCTATTTGCTCATCCAGTTGTTGCTGGAATGACAAAGACAGCAAAGACAGAAAATTTTGTATATATTAAGTGACCATATTGGAACTTAAAACTTTCCATGTTTGTGTCTTTAAGCACAGAAGAGAACTCTAGGTTTCTCCATTTGCAGCAACACCTAATTTGGCAAACTCAAAAAGTTACATTGTCTTTGATAAAGGCTTTCTTTGTTCTAGAGAGGTCAAAAGATTTCTCTCCAGCTTCAGCCTGAAGATCTCGGATCAAAAGAAACAATATAAATTCCAATATATTAAATTTTAAAATGGGGGGTAAGCCCTAGAAGGGGTATTGGCTTTCTTGAGCCCAGTGCTTCCCTGATTCTCACAAATGAGTAATAAACTGCTAAAGAAAGAGAGAGAGAGAAAAGAAAGAAAAGAAAAGAAAAAAAAGAAAGAAAAAAAGAAAAGAGAGAGAGGAAGGGAAAGGGAAAGAGAGAGGAAGGAAGCAAAAGAAAGAAAGGAGAGAGAGAAAGGAAAGGAAAGGAAAGGAAAGAAAAGGGAAGAGAGAAAGAGCAAGCGAGCGAGCGAACGAGCAGATGCCCTGGCCTACCTTCCATTTCATCTGCTTTGTTGCCACTCCTGTCTGGAAGCCTAAGGGAATTCCACCAGAAGACAGATTCTGGAGCTAGGCAACACCTAAGTGAGGTCTGCTCCACCTAGCTTCAGCCCAGCTATAATACCATGGTAAGTGCTTGAAAAATGTCAGCCAAGCTAAACTGTTAATGAGCAGGCCCAGTAGTTTTCTATCTTCCTCCGAGAGAGGATAACCAAGTCTTTAATTTCCCATAAGACAAAAAGAAAATCTGCAAAATTACAGTTTATTCTAGTCTTTAATGGTAACAATGACCTGGCACAGGAGATATTTCCATCTCTTTTGTTTATCACTCTTAAAATTCTCTCTTCAATAAAACTCCATTCTACTTTAGGGACATGGGAGTGACACTCATGTTGAACAAGAGGGACTTACAAAGGGAGTTTTACCAGTTTCACCACTTCGGGCCCAGTGGGAATGTCCTTCCCATCATCACCTCATCACATTAACAAGATGAAGTCCTTTGGAAAACCAGTATAAAAGCAAGGAACCCTCAGTTCAAGCAAAGGGACAAAGGATTTAGTAAATGTGGTTATTAGTGTAGTGCTGGTGATTAAATAATATTTCTCCTCCTCCCCACTAAAGCACACATTACCTCACTGAAAATATTAAAACCAATGCATTGTAATCACTTTGGCTATGAGCCTAAATATATGTTACCACATAAAGTTTCAAATACAAAGTTTTATATTAAAAAACACTAAATAAATCTAGTATCCTCCCCTCCCCCAATCCAATGTAATCTGGCTTTAAAATTGTTAAGAAGAACAAGTTTATAAATTTGAGCACAGTGAGTTTTTATGTGTGCCCACCCACCTCCACGGAAAATACCCCAAAAGCAGCAACCTTCAGAAAATACAAGACTTTACTCTCAAGGAGTAACTCTAATGTGAGTTCCAGAAGATAGCCAGCCATATCCTAAATCAGTTGGCTGGTCAGTTTCTTCAAGTAAAATGAGAGTAACAGGCACCTATGCTACCTGAAGATGAAGCTAATAGGGCATCATGAAGAAAAGCAAGGCATCTGATAGTACTCCACAGAATATATTTAGGATTAACATCTCAGCTTCTAATAGGCAGGGATTTTCAGCTGATTTCCATCTACATTCCTCCACCCAAGCCTACAAAGCATTCTATGGCTTGTGTGAACACCTCAGCCAAACAAATCAGAAAGTCAGCTCACAACCCTCTATTTCTCACTCCTGAGAAGGCTGCTCATAAACAGTGATCTCGTTTGATCCCCACAACAACACTATGAGGCATGTAAATTGGTATTAGCACCATTTTACACAAGAAACTGCAACTCAAAGAAATAAGGGCCTTGCCCAAAGTCACACAAATCAAGATGTCTGAACCAGGACCAGAGCGCAAGTCTTTTACCTACTGACCCAACATTCCTTTCACTCACTACATCTGTAAATACGCAGTTAGAAAAACCTGATATCCACCATAATCTGCAAACTTCCATAATATACATTTGTGACTACAACATTCTCAGGTAGGTAACCACCCACATACCAGCTATGCACATCAAAAACATTTACACGAAAGATCAGCTAATGACCTGCTTATTAAAACAAAACCAGGACTTGCTTATCAAAAACAAAACCAGGGACAAGAGGGGCTGCCAATGCTGTATCTCAGAACTACCACTCATACACATGCCCTAATGACTAACACCCATTGACTAGCATCACCCCTACCTACACAACAAAAGAACCCCACTTTTGAAAACTTGCCAACTCTAGGATTCAACATACTACACTATGCATTATTTCTCCAGGAAAAAAAAAAAAAAACTACCCTATGACTGAAATTGTTTAGAATTTTTTCTTTGTAAAATTGACACTGACAAGATACCATCTCTTCTCAATAATAGAGTAGCAACACAGGAGCAAAAGGAAATTATGGAGTTAGAGATGGAACCAGATCATAAGTATGATATACCCTATCTTGACAAGATTTTACTCTTAAAAATGACGGCCCTATTAAAAGTAGGTAACCCATCATCATTTTATCCAAGTACCCATAATTCAATTGATTAGAAATAAATCCCTCCAAGAACACATCTGCAGTTAAGTTAGTGAAAACTGAACTACTGAACAGAGAAGCATGGCCTGCTGCTCAGAGAAGACGGGTCATAACTAATGTGGTAAACCAAAAATGCCATAAGAGATAAAGTATTTTCTTCATCTGGTCTGCTTCTCTCCAACTAAAGAAATCAACTCAGAGGGGGAAAAAAGACAAAAACTCACCTTCCCAAACCAACAAATAAACGATCCAGACACATACCCTTCATGATGTTGAATCCCAATTTAGGAAACCTCAGACAGCTCAGAGCACTGTCTTATCCACAAGGCTGAGAATACAAGACTTTTGTCCTCCAAAATTAAAAGTATAAATTTTATCACTAAGTTTGGTATACTGTCCCACAAAATGCCACCTTATTCCATGTCCATACCACTAAAGAACTATAGAAAATAATGACATATTAAAAAAGATCACTCCTCTGTTTTCCTTATGGCATTTTTATTATCTGACACATATAGCAAATGTGGATCTTGAAATGGGAGATAAATTAAAATAAAGTTTTAAACTATAATAAGTCTATAATAAATAATATACTCTATAAATAAATTATCAAAATTCAGGGTATTTGGTGATAGAAATCTAAGGAGGAAATGAATTTTTGAAATGTCTCAGGCCAAAAGAAAACTAAAAGGCTATAATCAAGAAAGAAAGGAGATGGGCAACTTCTTTTTAGAGCCCCACTTCCGAAAGAACAGCTGTCTTTGCTCAGCTGTAGGAAAACCACAGGACTTGGAATAACTCACTTCATGTACTGTCCTTCTTATGTTAAAATGACACTGTTGACTCACCCTCAGTAGGATATGTGCTTGGTTAAACTTGTTTTTCCAGTAACAGTAATGAACTGAGTTACTCTACTATTGAAATGATTTGCACCGCCACAACTGAAAAAAATATTTGGAAACACCTACATATCTAGTATGCATGTCCTTGAGTAGTAGGTCTGGTTTGACTATGCAGCCAGAGCTTTATCCTTCTTCAGAGTCTCTCCACAAATGATGATCAGTGTAACAAAAGAATCTTTCACTGCATTTGCTCAGTGAATCATTGTCTTAGCTAATAGCTAATCCCCACAGTCCTGGGCTTCCAAAGTCTGAAATGAAATAAACTGTCTAATTTATTTTTCTTACTTTTAGTTACATGTACTGCTCAAATTTGGGTGATACTGCAGAAGGCCCACACCAAATCCACAACCCTTGCATGCAGCAGTAGCATTCAACAAGGTCCTGTAGGACACTCTGGTAGATTCCCCCTTCTACTGCTCTGTCATTTCTAGCTTACTTGCTAGTTAAGGTGGAAAGACTTTAAAAAAAAAAAAAAAAAAAAAAAAAGGAGCCTTTACCAAGCCCTAACTCTAGCTTATGAACCAAACTAATCATCATATGGGTGGGAAGGCTTAATAACTTCAAACAAGGATTTTTACTTATACCAACCCAGACAATGAAAGGGAGGGTTGTTAGTTCTCCTTAGATAAAAAACAGTATTCCCTCTTAAGGAGAGATACAACCTAATTCACATATATCTTCTATCTTTATCTTTTCTACCTCAAGGATACAGTTTTTTAATTGAAAATTTTAACTCAAAAATTATTTTGCAAAGGGATATTTGAAACGTGGGGAGTAAAAGATAAGCTACAAACAAAAGAACAAATATCTTAGACATTAAACTCTTCAATTTACATTCTGGACCAGTGGTCTGCAAAATTAGGTGTGCGTATCCCAGAAGCAGGGGAGGTGTAAGACCATCCACTGGGGCACTGGAAGAAATTTTAAAACATCTCCATATTTATGGGCTAAAAAACATATAATAAGCTTTACTTAGAGTTAACATATGCATACATGGTTTAATAGCCAGACATTTATATAATGTATAAATATGTATTTACTTGAGGAAGCGTTCATGCTTTAAAAATGTTTTTCTTGGGGTATACATTTTTTAAGGGTTTGAAGGGTCCTGCTTTACCCCCAGATTTCATAAAGTAGGATACATATGCGCTCAAGAGTATACAGTATGCCAGAAAAATGCAAAGAAACTGGATAAACCTGGTATATCTTCCTGGCATCTCTATTTCACTCACTCTAGGGTAAGTGACATTCATTCTTCCCTATAATCAGGTGCTTTGGAAGACACCTCTGGCTAACATGTCATTAGGATAAAAGAGGCCACAAAATGATGGCCTGGATTCTGGGTTCTATGCCTGGCTCTCTATCTTCTAGCCATCTGACCAAGGGCCAATCACTTCACACTTCCAGGCCTTTCCAGCTCCTTCCTACTCAAATTTTGCGATTCACAAGTTAAGTTTTTCATCCCATCTTTAGTTGCTTCATGGCCCTGAACATGTCATTCTTCTAATTAGAATGTAACAGCCACTCCTCTCCACCAATCTCAGCCTCCTTTCCGCTCTCCAATGAGGCCTTGACTTTGCATTCCCTCAGCTTCCCATGATCTGTTTATATGATGTGAAAGGGCACTTTCTGGAAGGCTCTGTAAGTGTTCTCAGGTTATTACCAGTGTCCCCCAGTACTTCTGGACAGACTGTAGAGCTCCTTTGGCTAAAGTGCTAGAGGCAGCATTCTGCATGGGGGACCAACATGTATTATCACCTCACCATGCTGAAAATCTACAGCCTGGCCCCTGATCCAAATCAGCAATATACTAATATTAAGGAAAAAGTAACAGAAACCAAAATCACCCACCTAATGAAGATATATGATCTAACAAAAGAAAATGAGGCTGAGAACATCCACAGGTAAGCCAGGCTATGAGGAACATCGCTCTGAACTCAGCAGGAACAAAATGAGGAACCGGGGAGAGTACAGAGAAGTGTTAACTCACACTGGTAGGATGCCCCTTCTCACTCAAAACAGCTGAGTTCATATCCCAGGCATGGCCGCTGTATCAAAATAATTAGTAATTAAACAAGTTAATATATGCAACATGCTTACAGCTTGGCACTGTTAAGATTATTACCCTCTTTCCTTCAAGCACAGCAGAACACGAGAAATGTCACATCTTTATCTGCAGACTTTGGGGGATCCAAGGCAGAATTTTCACCTACTCAGAGCAGGCTGAGATTCAACTTCCCTTTTCAGGTTTCATCGACATCCCTGAAGGTTCCATAGCATATCTGCCATCATGTGGAAAGATAAAATTCAATTCCCAGGCATTCCCAGGTGCACTTCTAAGGAAGTGGTATGGTGTGAAGAATAAAGCAATGGACCAAGGGCTAAAAAGTCAGACATCTGGCCTGGCACAGTGGCTAACACCTGTAATCCCAGCACTCTGGGAGGCTGAGGCAGGTGGATCATTTGAGGTCAGCAGTTCAAAACCAGCCTGGCCAACATGGTGAAACCACGTCTCTACTAAAAATACAAAAAAATTAGCCGGGTGGTAGTGGCACACCCCAGTAATCCCGGCTACTCGGGAGGCTAAGGCAGGAGAATCGCTTGAGCCTGGGAGGTGGAGGTTGTGGTAAGCCAACATCGCACCACTGCCCTCCAGTCTGGGTGACAGAGTGAGGCCCTGTCTCAAAAAAAAAAAAAAGTCAGTCATCTTGTCTTTGTACTGCCACTGACTATTTTTGTGCTCTTGAAAAATTACTTTACCTTGTTTTTTTTTTTTTTTTTTTTGAGATGCAGTCTCTCTCTATTGCCCAGGTTGGAGTGCAATGGCGTGATCTCAGCTCATGGCAGCCTCCGCCTCCCAGGTTCAAGCGATTCTCCTGCCTCAGCCTCCTGAGTAGCTGGGATTACAGGTGCACGCCACCATGTCCAGCTAATTTTTGCATTTTTTTCCGTAGAGACGGGGTTTTGCCACATTGGCCAGGCTGGTCTTGAACTCCTGATCTCGTGATCCGCCTGCCTTGGCCTCCCAAAGTTCTGGGATTACAGGCATGAGCCACCATGCCCAGCTGAAAAATTACTTACCTTTCTAAGGCCTACAGTTTGTAATCTGTTTTTAAAAAGTGATTAGATGACATATAGTCCCATAGCCAAGAAAATAGTAGCTTACCAACATGTTTTACTGTGACCTACAGTGAGAAATATATCTTGTACCAGACCTCAATATTCACATATATACGTGCATAGCAAAAACAAAAATTTCAAGAAACAATGCTTGTCCATACTATGTGATACTCTCTATTCTACCCTTTTTTCCCCCAAAGTGCTGTTGGAGACCTACCAAATTGGTTTCATGACCCATTCGTGGTCATGATCTGCAGTTTAAAAAACCATGGACTAAAGCGTGCAGTAAAGAATGTGGCTTTGCAATTAGACAGGCCCAATACCACTTTTTTTTGTTTTTTTTTTGTTTTTTTTTTTTTGGAGACAGGATCTTGCTCTGTCACCCAGACAGATGTGCAGTGGCATAATCATGGCTCACTGCAGCCTCAACCTCTGGGGCTCAAGCAATCCTCCTGCCTCAGCCTCCCAAGTAGCTGGGACCACAGGTGTGCACCCCCACTCCTGGCTAATTTTTTTATTTTTCGTAAAGATGGGGTCTTGCTATGTTTCCCAGGTTAGTCTCAAACTCCTGGTGTCAAGCGATCCTCCTGCCTCAGACTCCCAAAGCACTGCGATTACAGGTGTGAGCCACCAAGCCCAGCCCCAGCACCACTTTTAACTAGCTGCATAATCTTGGGTAAACTACTAACCTTTCCAAAGTACATCTTTTAAATTAAGACTAATACACCAGGGTTTTTTCTAAGGATTAGATGAGATAATGTATGTAAAGCACTTAGCCACACTGTGTCTGACATAAAATACACACTCAATAAAAAGTTATAGTGATGACTAATAACATCAATATTATTATTACTAAATTCAAGAATTCCAAAAGAAAGTAAATTAAGTGGAAGAAAGCTAGAAAGAGAAATAGGCTCACCTATAAGCATCAATAAACAGTAGGACTGTTGTCAGGTTAACCCAGGACTATGCTCACTGAAATTCTACAAACAAAGGGGTTTTGCTTACTTTCTTCACAATATCCCCTCGCAACTTAAGCAGTGCCCAGCACACAATAGGTACATATATTTGTTGAATGAATGAAAACATCTGGAGGCTCACCTCTATGCAGTGGAGGTGCTGTGAAGAGATCCCAGCAACGCCTGCACAGCACCCCTGCCCAAAAATCCAAACACCTTGAGATTGTTGTAAGCCAGTGACTCTCAAAGTGTACTTTCCCAAACAGCAGCAGTATTACCTGGACGCTTTTTAGAAATGCAATCTACCAGGTCCCGCTCCAGACCTACCAGATCAGAAACTCTGGGGGTGAGCCCAGCAATCTGTATTCTAACAAGTCCTCCAAAACTTGATGTGCACTCAAGTTTGAAAACCAACATTACAAACTGATGATTTAGGGACCAATAGCAATTCCAGGGAGCTACATGTACAATCAAACGGACTCCTGCAAAGTTTATTGATTCTAGGAATTAGTTACTTACCTAGTTCAACCCAGACTTTTCAGAGTTAGCTGCAACTTCCAAGGAAGTTACCAAGAATTGCTTCTCCTCTCTGCTTCTCCTTAGTGCACCAATAAAGCCTAATTGCTGCAAACTCTCTGAAACAACCACTCTAATATTCAGCACAAAGCCTGATTGCTAAAAAAATGCAAAACCTATTTGTTAAATGTGCTTTTATCTAAGCACATTCCCTGGGCTCACACTATCCATACCAGAACTTCTGGAATGCAGGCTTACGGTGTTTTTTCAAACTCTACATTAGTTCTCAAAAAATGAACAAGGTCCCACAGCCAATCTGCATGCAGCAACTTTGCACCAAAGTTATAACAGTACTGATCTACCAATACCTTGCATTTCACTATTTGCCAAAACAACAAGACCTTATTTAGCATCAATTTTGTGTACATACACTTCAGAAAGAAGATAACCAGATATTAAAGATAACCAGATATTAAAACTCCAAAGTTAAAGTTTGTAATGTGTTGATAAATCAAACAACACATATTTGTATCACTAGATTGAGCCCAGTAATTTCTATAGAACCTTAATTTCCCAAAAGGTACCTTAATCAGACTCTAGTCAAACACAACAAGATTTAGAAAAAACACACTGTTTTTTATCAAAAGGCAGGAAAATATAACTGTCTTCTTTCTACTCTGGTAAAGGATTTCTAAATATACCTTCCAAGGGCAAAAGGGTGCCTTTGAAAAATAAGAAGATTCCTTATTTCTGTCAATAGAATAATGATCCAGTTATATACCAAAGAGCAGATAGAAGACCTGGCTTTGGAGTCATGTGACTCTGCATTAGATCTCATGGGGTCTCTGTCTCAGTCTCTACAAATAAAAACATGGCCTTGTCTCTATAAAAGATACAATGTACATAGAAGTGTTTTGCAAACTATTATATATTATCTTCTCAACATGCAAATTTATCCCTGTGAACTGATTCTTTCCCTCCCACTCACAGTGGCCAAAATAATTTATATTAGAATGTGTCCATAGGTGGCTTAATAGCAGTTGTGACAAAAGTGTAAACTAGAAAAGATACTGAATATTTACACACACATAAAGCAGCATGAAGCCACAGAAGGCTTCAAATGACAAAGAAATGAATTAGAAAAATCACCCACAGTACACTGGCCCTTCCTGGTTTTGGCAAGGATTTCAGCCAGAAAGACATGGTATTTAAGAAGAAAAATTAATAAAAAGAAAACATAAAATGAATTCTTTCAGAACTTCACAAAAGGTTATGTTTAAAAAGAAGTTTGGGAACAAGGGGATGCAGAGGGCTATGTTTTTTTCAGGTCTGACTTATCCTTTGCTATGGGTACACTGTCTTTTCATGTGGCCTCAAAGAAATAGTTGAGCCATTATTGTTGTTGATAATGACGAGCAGATGCTGATGGGATGATTGCACATCAACAGTTCTCAGACTCAGGTCTTGTGTAATTGGGTGTGTCAATCTATGTCACTCCACAGATGGTTATTAAACTAGTTACAACTTCCCTAAATCTTTTCACTAGATCTATGCAGCATTCTGGACAGCTATTCCTTGCCAACTGAGATTAGGCACTATTATAAAAAAAGTTTTGAAAAAACAATTCCAAGGTCTATTCCTCCTCCCAACACACACACACACACACACACACACACACACACACACACACACGCACACACACACAGAGTTAAATCAGAGATACTTAATTCAGATATTCAAATTTTTTAATTTGAAATTTAAAATATTACCAAAGCCATAAATATTCCTTTAATGCAGTGAATGTAAGAAATCTATTAATTTCAACCTGTCTTGAATAAAAATTATAATACATATATAATTTTCTATGAAAAAATTGTATGTATTTTGGATAATCTATGTACCTCAGGAGTAGCCCTTCTATCAAAGCTCTTCTCAGGATGGTGGAGAATGGTGAATCTCAGCTCTCACAACATAAAAGTGCCAAATTCTTCTTAGTGAAAGAGGTGTATAGCCTTGATGTGCTAGATAAAAGTGGCCTTCAGAGAAGAAGCTCTCCACTGACCACGGGGCATGGTCAAATGTCCAGTTGGATTGCTGTGAGAGTCAAAATGATCCACTTGGCATTTTGTTGATATTGAGGTGTCAAACCTTTAACTAGTTGGCCACTCCTTCCAGTAAGCTTCTGTACACTGGACAACTGAAAGAAAGTTTGTTAAGAAGGCTCCCTTAAACAAAAGGTACAACTTATAAAATACACTGTTGTGGAAAGACAAGTATAGCTTCATTATCATATAGATGTAAACAAGGCAGAGACTAGGCTAAAATAAAGTGTAAAATGTGAGTTTGTTAATTTTTCTTTCCCCGTGAACATTTGGCAGAGTTAAAATTTTAGCCATCATACATTTTATTCCCTGAAATGTATCAAGTCACAGTTCCCACAGACTCTAGATACACATTTCCTTGTGGGTGTATGTGTAAAACTACCATAACAAAACATTTTCTATTTCCTCATTTTGATTAAAAGGAAAGAAGAAATGCTAAACTGCACTTACATAAGTGACAGTGCAATAGTGACACACCCATCTGTGTACACAATTTGTATTCTGTTTAAATTTAAAGTTATAATGATAAGGTGAGAAATGCTAAGAGCTAGGAAATAAAAATACACTTAGAAGCAGCCTATGTTGTACGCTCTTGAAAAACCTTAAGGAAGCTTTAAAGAGCAGCAAAATCACTTCAGGCCACTCAGGAAGAACTATGGCTTGAGACATTAAAAATGGCTGAGGAAAAATACTAAGAAATAGACATCAGAAAATTAAAAACGCCTGTAAACGAGGGTGACATTATAGACCCACTAGCAGGACATATGAAAGTTGTGATGAGTTAAGCTGAGTCAGACACATATTCCTGCCTATTTCACATGGATCAACATCCTGTCTAGGAACCAGGGACAACTGATTAACAATGTAAGCACAGAATAGCTTTAAGAAAAGCTAACTGACCCATCTGGGGAAAGAATACTCGAATTCTGCTCCATTTCTGTCATGCTCTGATGCAGCTAACCAAACAGAAATAAAGAGAATCCTTTCACATCATGAGAAATGAAATTCGGATTTAGGGACATTATAAAATTATGCGGTATCATGAAATAAGAACTGCTCTGGAAATCAGAACCTGGGTTCTAGCTCTGGCTTTTCCATATACTAACCATATGGTCTAAAGGAATTCCCTTAAGCTATTTGAGACTGATTATTTTCATCTGTAAAACTAAAATAATGTAACCAGCCCTCCATTCTTACCAGAGTTCATTTGTGGCCCAAATAAATCATGTCTATTAAGGTGATTACAACCTAGAAAGCATTATTTAATGTAAAATATTATTTTATAATAGCACAATTCCCAGTCTAAAAATCTGTGAAACAGAAAATCCTTACCATCTAACCCAGAAATGATAAATGATTACATGATTCAAATTAGATCACAAACACCTATATTATTATTAGATCCATTCCTCCAGCCCAAATGGGGGTGGTAAGTATACGTTGTTAGACCAGTGTAACTAACTTCAACAACTTTTTGTTTTGTTCTGTTTTGCAAATCCACCCAAGAATGCATTAACTTCAACAATTTTTTAAAAACAATTTCCACAATCCTCTCCTTGTGTCTCAACCATGCTCAGGAATTACAAGTACAATAATCTCCTCAACCTCCCCTAGCCTTTCCTAGCTCAGAAATCCGACATAGGCCACTTCGCATGCCTGATCAGATAAGCTTTCCCAATGCTGAAAACCAACTGCTTCTAACATTTTAAACCTGATTTCCATGAAAACTCAGGGGTGAAAGAAACAAATAATCCAACCAAATCAGTTCCTTCTTATTGGAAGAGTTCTTCATCTTTAATCTGAAATCCTAAATAATTTTTTCTATGAATCAATTGCTTCTGAGATGAGAGGTACAAGACACTACAAACTATGACCACGCAAAAGATTTTTAAAAGCTTTTGATTCACAGTGAGTTAACCTACAAACTTGAAGTTACTAGACAATAGTACTTTTAGTCTACTCTTTAGGTGATCCATAATCTTGTGTTGGCCATGAAGCAGAGCCTAAAGGGAGTCATTAAAAGAAACTGAAACAAGGTCTAGAGACAAATGTTCCCAGGCTATATATTCCAAAGGAGGAATTACCATGAAAGTAATGAACTTTAAAGTTCAGGGGCCCCTACACTCGGGTGCCTATTCTGTGCCCAGAACCACGCAAGCACAATTAAATATGTTGCTTTCAATCTTTACAAACAATCCTGCAAGTTAGATATTACTATTATTCCCATTATATAAATACGGGTACTGAGACTTAAAGAAGTTAAGTGGCTTGTCTAATATTCTTAGCTAGTACAAATCAGAGCCCAGTCTCTCTGATTCCAAAACTCACCAGCTATGCTAAAGCAAAAATCAAAATGTAGTAGGGAAGGGTATCTAAAAGTCATTCTGAGAGATAATTAAAAATAAATAATGTTTGCTGTCACTTATCTCTTTTACCTTCTTTAATATCCCTTGGCATCCTCTCCTTCAACATTCAACTATTAACTAACACAACTAAAACCTAAGGAGGAAGTCCAGTATGTTTGAAAGAACCCACATGTCTGAGCATGTAGGTGAAGGACGGTGTTTTAAAATAGCAGGGATAATCTAAGATTAGGTATTGGTGTCAAACACACTTCTCTTATCTATTAGTACAGATGACCACCAGTTTTCAGTAACAAAAGATATGGTAATAAGAAAAAACAAATCCACAGAAAAGGAAAAAAACAAGCTTGTCTTTATGCTTGTTCTGTAATGATATGTGTAGAAATGCTACCCACAGTTAATTCCATAGTTCCTAAGCCAAGACAGGTTAGTACTGGGTAATTTTAATAATTGGCTATGTGCATTGTTCAGATG
Source organism: Homo sapiens (assembly GCF_000001405.40). NCBI lineage: Eukaryota > Metazoa > Chordata > Mammalia > Primates > Hominidae > Homo > Homo sapiens. The sequence continues at coordinate 349,558 of NW_025791753.1, read as the reverse complement.
CTGAGGCATTCCAATCATTTTACATGGTCTCTTACATCACTTTCAGAATGGTACCATAAGAACACAACTGTACAGTCAAGAAAAAGCTATTTGTAACTAAAACGGCTGGCATCAAACATTTCTGAACATAAATCTGGCTCTGAATTGCTAGTTACAATCTCTCTCAATTTTTTATTTAAAAAAATCCACACATTCATTCCTGGTCTTGATCTACTAAAGAATTTCTTTTGGGATCAAAAAGTAACAGGAAAGAATGCTAACCAACTTTCCTTGGATTATAACAAACATAATTCCATTCTTCTTCCCAGTTACAAAAAGATTTAAAAGAACTACAACTCTTCAAAATGGAAGTTTGCAATTTAGATCATTCTCCTATTATGCAAATGTTCATTCAGAATTAAAATATTGTTTTAAAAAGTAAAATGTAAGTCAGTCTAGTGCACAAAATGTTTACATTAAATACAAAATTACACTATCTAAGGGACTACAGGATTCCACCAGACAATGGCATTATTTATTATGGTTAAGTATGTTGGCTTTGGATCAGGAAAGAGGGGTTCCAGTGACTGTTCTTTACCACTGACTGGCTAGGTGATCTGGATGAACATTCCTTAACTTTTCTGTAAACAAGAATCCTAACATCTATTTTAAGGACTAAAGGAAACAAGTAAAGTATTTTGTCCCCAAGCATCTGTCACATAATAAACCCTCAGAATATGGAAGCTACTGATAGTCACATAAACTTCATGAAAACAGAAACATTCATCTGTTTTGTTCACTCTATTAACAAGGAGGCATGGCTTGATCAGTATTCATGCAAATACTTCCAGTTCCTCCAAAGTGACATTCATATTTATCTATATTAACTACATCCAAATTCTGCTATCCTTCGTGTATACTTCTCTTTTATTATAAGCAGCTTCAGCTACTTTTATGGAAAGATTTAAATTATTGGAAAATATTTTAAGGGTATTTAAGTTAACATATGGACCATTTACATATTCTATAAACTGTGTGCTTACACGTAATTATAAATATCTCAGACTGTAAAAGAAAACCTTCCATAATGTTCCCACAATGGAAAAATAAAGTCTTAGAAATAATTATAGAGGGAGCAGAAGGGAGTGGCAGGTAGAGGATAACTTACTAAATCGGCAAAATAAAATTTGGAATTTTTTCTTAAAACAAAACAAAATAAAAACCTGACAACCACTTGTTCAAGGCTGCCAAAACTTGAGAAGAAGCAAACTGTCAAGGGAAACAAATGTTAAAATATAAAGCCCTTTTCTGAGAAAGTAACTCCACCAGTCCAGGCTAATCCAATTCTGAATCACTAATGACACCAGACCTGCCGAGTTGTCTCAACTAGTACAAAGAAGTCCAAAGGGACAGGCAGAGGTTCACAGGCAAATTATTTTCACTGCTGTCATTGAAATTTTAAATATAGCCACACCTCTCCCATCCCAACACCCTTTCTACTCCTCTACTGTTGTTGACTGGCACTAACCCTTTTCAGACCTCAAAAAACAAGGGCCGACATATTGATACATAATTTGAGTACTGAGCATAGTGGAAAAATCACTTGACTAAAAGTCAAGAGATTGGATTCTGGCCCCAACCCTGACCCAGCTCTAGGTACTTGGGCCAGTCACTTTGCTTCTTTGGTTTTCTCTCTTTAAAACAAGGATGGATTAGATGGGTGGTTCCCCACACAAGATCCCAAAATCTCCAGGAGCCCCTGAGGTTGTAATAAAAGACAATGGGATATTTTTATTATTTCAAAATGTCTAACAGAGATAGTTCGTTAACTGCTTTAAGGCTAATTAAAACACCAAGTATTTTGGCTTCACATTAGTACTCTGCATGGTGACACTGGATGGCATGTGATTATGTTTGTCATATCATAGGAAATTTGGAAACAAGAGTGTTAGACCTGATACTGTTCTCAAAGCTGTACCTCAGAAAATCACAATATCTTTACTAAACATAACATCCAATCACAAATGTGTGGTTAATAAAAAATGGGAAAATGATTTAACACCTATCAATGCAATTTGCATAATACAAGCATACCTTTGTGATATTGTGGCTTCAGCTCCAGATCACCTCAATAAAGCAAACAGTACAATGAAGCAAGTCAGAAATTTTTTGGTTCCCCAGTGCATACAAAAGTTATGTTTACAGTATACTCTAGTCCATTAAGCATGCAACAGCATTATGTCTAAAGCATAATGCATATACCTGAGTTTAAAAATACTTTATTGCTAAAAAATACTGACACAGGGACATATAGTGAGTATATGCTATTGGAAAAAATGGTGCTGATACATTTGCTCGACATAGGGTTGCCACAAACTTTCAATTTGTAAAAAATAAAACAAAATCTGTGAAGCACAATAAAAGGGAACACACAATAAAATAAGGTATGCCTATAGATAAAATCTCCCCAAACTGAAAGTGTACCTCATTAAGGGAAGAGACTCAAATATGAAACCCTTAAATAATTATTAGATCACAGGAAACCAGTGAACAATCCACAGGCTGCAAAGATGATGTTCCTATTTCCTCATGAAGGTTCCCAATCACTCATCCACTTTTGATTAAAGAAAAGTGAATGCACCAAGAAGCCAGTCTGTACTGCAACATAAAATAACACCAATACCAACAATAACTACTATTTACTGCACTTTAACTATGTGCCTGGTACTGTCCAATGAATCTAACATTTATTAACTGATATTATCTTCATAACAACTCCAAAATATACTGCTACTATCTTTATTTTTAAAATAATAAAATTGAGGCACACCATGCTTCAGAAACTAGCCCAAAGACACAGGGCTAGTAAATTTAGAGCAAGGCTTGTATGTTTTCCAACCTTCTCCCCACCAAAGCTGGCATCTGCCTTTCAAAAAGATGTCTCCATAAATACAAACAGGAATGCCCCAAGCAGAGCCCAGAGGAGAAGGGCCATTGCTCCTGAGAGCAGTCCTCTGAAGAGTTCATCACTGTGGCCCTTTTCGGCTTAAAGATTCATCCTTAATGGAAACTCCCCTCTTTTCCCTCCAAATTATATTTGCTTGTCCTGGTAATGGAAATCAACTGATAGAAGGTTAAAAGCCATCAATGTATCGGTCAGCTAATGTCCATCCACTTCTTACTTATTCAGAAGATACAAAAGAGTTCTAACTGGCTGACCCTTCAAAGAAGGTAGTTTTTCAAATTAATTTTTACTTATACATATCATAAAAATAGGCATCTGCAGTATCCTGGAATGAGTGAGGGTTATGGAGACAGATCTAGCTCTGAATCTCGACTAAGCCACTTACTAACTGCATTATCCTGTGCAAGTTAGAAGCCCCAGTTTCCCTAAATACCTACCCCTGTCTCTTAGGGTTGTTGCAAAGTGTTAAGTGTATGAATGTACATAAAACACCATGATTTATTGCAGCGGCCCTAGAGCCAGACAGGGGTTTGAATCCTGGCTACACCCCTCACTAACCATAGGCCAACATCCAAAGCTGTGAACCTAAGTTCCAAATTCCTTACCTATAATGTAGAAAAATATTGTCTACTCCAAAGGATAGCCATATGAATTAAATAAAGCAATATTTGCAAAGCCCCTAGCAGAATGACAGACACATAATAATAAAAATCAAAAAAGAAAAAAAAATCTGATGTTTAAAAAATCAAGCTGCAAGGACCAGGCACGGTGGCTCACGCCTGTAATCCCAGCACTTTGGGAGGCTGAGGCGGGCAGATCAACTGAGGTCAGGAGTACGAGACCAGCCTGCCCAACATAGAGAAACCCCGTCTCTACTAAAACTACAAAAAATTAGCCAGGCGTTGTGGTGCATGCCTGTAATTCCAGCTACTCGGGAGGCTGAGGCAGGAGAATCACTTGAACCCGGGAGGTGGAGGTTGCGGTGAGCCAAGATTGCGCCATTGCACTCCAGCCTGGGCAACAAGAGCAAAACTCCAACTCAAAAAAAAAGAAAAATCAAGCCACAAGTTTAAGTACCAGCTCTGTCACTTATTATGTAGGGGTAAACAATGTATACAAGTCACCTAACCCCTGTGAGGCTCCATTTCCACCAAGTTTGTGAGGATTAAAGGAGATCACTGTGTAAGAATACTCTATAAACTATAAATTTCCAACAGAAATGTTGGAGGTTGTTTGATTCTACAGAAGTAATTTTTATATTAATTGTATTTACTGGTCCTTCCAAACAATATCTTCATCTTTAAAATGGAAAAAACTGAGGCAGAGAAATGTTGAGCCATAGAGGGAAGGCTACTGGTTTGAAATGTAGGGTGGAGACAAGGGCTGGGCCAAAATAAATTTAGACCAGGACAAAGCAGAAAATTTCTGAAAGCTTCAAAGGAGAAAAATGAGAATACTCATCAACCTATGTTTTTAATCAACAGCTTCACCTGCTGGTTAAGCCTCTCAGTGCACAGTGTGGGCATAATAATTCTCTTACTTCCTCCCAGAAACAGTATTAGACTTCAGAGTGAGAAAGAACTTCACTATCAAATCTCTTTTCCTATTCATAAATTAATTTTGGGATGGGGCACAGAAACAAAGACCAGTGGACATAAATTTGAGTCTCGGTCTAACTGGCGTTTTCTGAACTACACCATTAAAAAAAAAAAAAAGAAAATATTGTAATCCTTCAAATAGGTTTCCTTCCTTGGTTGATCAGAAATGTCCTCATTCCCCAGGTCTCTTCATGCTAAATATGGTAATAGCTGGCAGACAGCCAGCCCAGTAAATTCCAATGATACTTAAGAAAGCATTCATATGGCCTGAAATTACTCTGAACCAAACACTTGAGACCTGCAGGGCTTCAGCATAGAGCAGTTCAGCTGGAGCAACGAATGTCAAAACCAGCGGGGTGCCTTAAAAACACAAAAGCTTGGAAAAAAAGCAATCTACTCTTCTTTATTGCTACATTCTTTAGCAACAACATTGATCTCCTACCCACTGTGCACACAGCACTGCACTAGGGCAGTGAGAGGCTGGACAGAGGAATGGAAGAAACAGGTGGTGTCCATGGGTTGCCAAAACAACAGGTTGCTTCAGTCAGTTCTGTCCTACAACTAATCAATTTGGTGAGGAAAGGGGGAGAGAATCTTAGTCATCTTGTTCTCTGACCAAGCTAACTGGCTAGACCCACTGTACTGGCATTTATCCATTAGGTCAAAGTGTCAGAATTAGCAGTGCATGGTAGACATAGCATTAGTCCTGCCTTTCAGGGATGTTAAATGCTTCAAAAATCTTGGCTATCTAGAAAAGGAGGACAGTAGCCGATTACGTCACCCACCCAAAATCATGTATTTGACTCCAGAATACACTGCTTTTCTCCAACATATTTTTTTATTAAGTATTAAAGTAAATGTCAATTTCCTAGACATATACAGCTGAAAGCATGCTGATTTACGATACAGTCAGATAAGAACTTTCAAGTAGCTACAGAAAATAGCAGTTAACAAATGAATTAACCAATATCATTAGAAACCAAAGGATTAAAAAAATTAACCTATGAAATGAACAATTTTTATATCAGCATTGGTAGCAATTTGATGTTATGTTATATACTGCTAATTATTTCCATACATATTGTGACATATTTAAGACAAAAGACTAACACCCTTAATATTTAAAGAGCTTTTTCAAACCAGTAAGAAAATAATTAAATGAGTAAAAGACACAATTTACCAAAAGAAGTAGAAAAAAAGGCAATACAAACGCCACTGATGATATGAAAAAACATTCAATATCACTGTAATGAGAGAGGCATATTAAGATTAAGTAATATTTACCACTTATCAAATGGTAAAGATTTTTAAAAATAAAACCTAGTGTTGACAATAGTATATTATGTGTGTGTGCATATATATATATATGTAGATCTGTTCATAAACTAAACATATATATATATATATATAAAAATAAATCAACAGCTTTTCTAAATCTAAGGGTAAAAAAACCAAAGACGTATACCAAAAAATTAATGCCAGCATGATTGTGGACATTTTATTTATGCTTTTCTAGATTCTTCAAACATCCTTAACTACTTTTTCAAACATAATTACTTTTTATTTTACAAAAATAAAAAAATCTTGTAAAGGTGCCAGAGAAAATCAGCAAAGTATAAATACGAGTTAATTATCTGTAAACATAACGAATAATTCTGTTGCTACGTAAACTTACCTTAAACTGTTTCAATGTTTGTTTTTAGTTACAACTATTTTCCTTAACTCTCTTAGAAAGAATATGTCAGAGAAGCCACTACATATTACTTACTTTAAATAGTAACATAATGCCAAAGACTTGCATGAATCTCAGGATACGGTCTTTTACCTAAAATTCCTCATGAAGATTAGAATGCACTTTAAATGTTGTAATAAAGTAAATGCCCTTAATGTTTCTAACTAAAGAAGATCTAGCAAATAAATAAACCCATATTCACAGCAAATAAAAATATAATAAAATAATCGAAATACACATGTCCTCAAACTTCAATGTGTCTTGACAGCGTCTGAACCAAAGCATGTGTAAGGAGAGAATTAAACAAAAATGTCTTTGCTACTTACCACATTTACCATTTAGAGAAGTTGATATATCAGCACTATCTAGTTTTGTGATTATTCATACTTAGAAACTCAACAGAACAGATTAGTGAATAAACAGTATTCAATTATTCTTATTTGAATGTTGGTTAGGTATACCAATAGAACAACCTCTCCCTGCTAGGTACCCGTTAAAATAGATTATTGAAAATATTTGAAGCTTAAAAACTTACAGAATCTTCTCACAAAAAAAAAGATGAAAATAAAAAGAGATGAAAAAGAAGCAAACAACAATTTTAAAACGTGCCTGCCTCAGAACAAGGCAGTTTATTTTAGAATGTAACCACAGCTTCTTGTACAACACCTTATTCATCAAGCACAACTGTATTTTAAAGGAATGCTATTTGTTAAAAAGACAACATATTTAGGATAAGGTATCTAACTCCAACCACAATATTATCATCATGTTTTCCTTACTTCACAAAATACACACATACTTTCATCATATGAATAAACATATATAATAAGGGTGAGAGAGCTACTCTTAACCCAGAAACAGGTTCTGCAACACCCATAGATCCAACCTGTCTTTATGCAACAATGAGTCCATCTTGGCAAGATGTTTGGCTGATGTATTCAAATAACCCAGAGTTCTGCCAGCTGCCAGTATCCTGCAGAAGGAACTGACTCGGAGACCAGAAACTGCCCTAGGCAAGCCTCCAGGGAAAGGTGCTTCAGTCCAATGGGAAGAAAAACCCAGCCCCTCACTGCCTGGCCAGAGGACCCGGGGTACCATGGCTGGAGCGACGTAGCTGGCTGGAAATGCGAGAGGGGCAAGGGACACTAAGGTGAACCCCCAAGAGCTTGTTCAATCATACCTAGTAAAGGCCAAACTATTGGGGAGCTAGTAGAACAGGGTTTTGCCAAGACAAGTACAAAAGGGTGAGGGAGATATTAGTATGATTAATCAATGCCACCTGAGGCAGCAACTCTGGGTGTGTCCACACCACACTTCAGTCACTGCCTGGCTGTGACGAGAAGTTCCTTCAGCCACTGCCACTGAGAACTGCATCTTCCAAGGAAGATATCTCCACCATAACTTGTCCTAGTTCAGGCTTGGCATTCGGGACTAAGAACACAGCACTCTCTCTTGCCGCAAACCCACTAACAGACATAATAGACACCACAACATGTGCCAAATTTATATTTACACCCTCACCAGACAAAGGGGTTTTTGTCTTTTCCCCAAGCCAAGTTCTAATACTTCTAAATTACAACACAGAAAGAGGAAAATGGCAGACAGCTCACGACAGCAGACAAGCCCAGCAAGGGTGAGCTGGAGGTCGCCTTTCCCTGGTGGTATTAAGACCTGAAGTTTACTCCCAAGACCCTATAGCTCCGAGTCACCCTGACTGCAGGAAACTGCTTTCAGAGAGCATAGATAAATGATAAAATAACTGTATTTCATATTCCTAATTGTGTGCTTATCTGTCTTGTCTCCATGATGATGTCAGCTCCTTGGGAGCAGGACCATATTTTCTACTTGGTCAATGATTCCCACACATCTAGAAGAGGAGAATACCCTGTACTTGCTACCACATGATGCCAAGGGAAGCACACAAATTAAGTGTGACAACACACCACAATGCTCCCCCAATACACCACTAAGACAGCAGAGCTACAAAGATAGCAAATGTTAGTGCCAAGGGCTAGTGATCCTACCAGTGAATTACATGGAAACCTATGTATTTACATACACAAATTAATAAAATAATTCCTTTGCTTTTCTTATTCCAAGCTATGGCTTTATCATCCCCCTTTCTTGGCTTTACTCTCCTTTTTAAGACCACAATGTATGTTCTGCCACACAGATAATATTCTCCTCCAAAAAGTGAGACAGGAGAAAAAACAGATCTACGGCAAACCTCCTACCACTACCAGTGATGCAGTTTGTCCCGTCTCAAGCCTATGAGCATATCCTTTCAGATCTGAAGCCACTTCCTTCTTCCTATCAAGGACAGTATTATCAAGTGTCTTTGTGAGAGGAGCAATCCTGTGCCCCTTCTTGTAGATTGTTTTGTTCTGCTCAAGAAGCCCTAGATTCCTCCTTTATTTTCCTTTCCTTATTTCATTTGCTGCAGCAGCCCAGAAACCCCAAAAGCAGGACCACCAGAAATGAGTGACCTTTATATCTCTCCACACTAACACATCTGAGGGAAACTGCCGACACCAAATATGTGTTCATGAGCTAATGAAGCAGAAATCCTCAAAGGAAGCACCATTTGCAACAGCTGAGGACAGAATTCTTTAGTGGACACCAAAAAGGCTGTGGAACTCCTATGCATTCTAACATCTCAGGTAACATTCTAATGGAGGAATAAGGAGGCTTACAACAAAGTCATACAACACAAACAGAAGTCCGAAAATGCTGGATTTCACAAATTTCTTTTAAGACAAAACAAACAACTTTACTAACCTTATACCATAGCAGCTTTCTTCTCTGTACTAAGTGAGGCCAGCAAGTAGGAGGCATTTCCAAGGGGGAAAAATGACCACAGGATCTAGCCAAAGCAACCTGTCTCTAATACTCTCAAAAAACAAACAAACAAAAACAAACACTTTGATTTCCCAGATTCACTCTGCAGTGATTCTAAAACTTTCCTAATGTAAGAATCACCTGGCTATTTCTTGAACACACAAATTCCCAGATGACACTCCAGATGCACTGAATCAGAATCTCCATGAGAACACCTGAGCTATTCTTATCATAAGAGAAGTTAGGGAAACACTGCTTGATAAATGTTATTCTCCCACCAGTGCCCACCTGTGCAGGGAGGTATGAAACAAGTAGGGCTAAGATGCTTTACCTGAGCAATCACCCCAGACATGCTCCTCACTGGGTTTGACTCCTTTTATGGAGAGCTGGGTGTCAGCTCAGTAAAGTCTACAGACAAGCATCTCTTTGGGTCCCTATCACCTGCACAGGTCTCAGGACTCTGAGACAAATTTCTGAGTAGATGTCAATGAGGACAAGTCATGAGGAGACGGATTACAGCTGAATATAAGAAGATCTTTCTAAGAATTAGAGCTGGCCAAAGATGGAATAAACTGCTGTGGAGAGCTGTCTACCACAAGAGATGTTCAAGAAGAGAGAAAATATGGTACCTCTTGACTAGAATGTTGTAAACATCAGATCCAGCATGGGATGGACAGAAAGACTAGATGAATTTTAAAGTTCCCGCCAATGCATAAGTCAACAAAGAGGAAAATTTCAGCCACTCCTTAATTAATTAAGAGAGATAGCAAAAAAAGTCTGTGGGTGGGGTCAGCTTTCAACTGATCCTATCTCTTCAAAGGAAAAAAGAACATAGAAACACACTCCAACTCACCATCAGCCTCTCCTATAGAATGTTCTAAAGGTGGGAAAGCAGGAGTCATAGATGCTGTGACTAAGACCTGCCACTCAGTTGACTCTGAATTTGGGGCACATGCCAGACAAGTTCTGTAGTACAGAGAAGAAATGTGTGTAGCACAGACCTGGCCCTCAAGGATCAAAATCATGTGGCAGAGACAACTCAACACCATGTGATTCTCTCAAGTATTTATTCATCATATTTCACCTTTAGTTTTTGTCAGTAGGGTGTTCAGGGGACTCTCTTGGTTCAAAAAAAAAAAAAGCAAATATACTTTACTAAATGTACATATTCTCTCAATCCAGTACAAGTTTGCAATATCCAACTCAATGAAAAAAATCTCAAAAAAATTATCAAAATAAATATAAACTTAGTTAACTCTAATTTTAAAAATAGTATTCCAAAAATGACTAGTCCCCAAAATGATGAAATTACAGTAAGGTGTGGCTATTCTGGACAAAATAACAGAAATTGCTGGCCTAGTAATACAGTAATACAGGAAGCAGTGGAAGCAAACTTGAGTGAGAGGCAGGGGGTGGATGGCAGTGCCTTTGAAGTGAGATTCCAAAGTCAAAGTGATTTATAAATTGCAGAAGTGATCAGAAAAAGAAAGAAAGAAACCCCACACACAAAGAAATTCAAAATTACAAGTTTAAATGAAACATCTGGGGAAGGGAAAAATTTGGTTTTTCCCCAAATGTAAGGTAAGCATGACTCCTGCAAATACTATTTTTAAAATGTCTAGGAGTACCACAGTTGTCCAAAATAAGAAAGTGGCTAAAAATAATTGTTCGACTGAACAAGTATTTATTGTGTGCCTATTAGATACCAAGGCATCATGCCAGGTACAGGGGTAGGGTATGGGCATTAGAATAAACACATAAATGAAAATACACGATTCCTTCCTCATGTACGCATTAACAATAAGCACTTGAGGATGTTATAAGAGTTTTTGTGCACATAAGCGCATTTGTACACGAGATGGAAGCAACGTGGACAGTGAATGAGGCACTGGACACCAGAAGAAAGGAATTCTAGTCTCAACTCTAATTGGCTCTGTGACCATGAACAATGAACATCAGAAAATGGAGGACCGAAACAGTGGCTCTCCTACAAGGTCACCAAACCAATTAATAACAGACCTGGAGAAGAATTCTGGTCTTCTGGCTCCTAGTTCAGTGATCTGTCCAAAATACTACACATATGGTAGGCTGACAAAGAAAGAAAAGAAGACCTTTTGGTTTCAAGTCATTTGCAGAGAAAGGGGGGGAAACAAAAACAGGAAAATCAGGAAAGCGTGGAAGGAAAATTAATAGTTCAAATTTAGGCATTCGAACTGAGACATCAAGAAAGGAAGCATGTAACTATGGACTGTGAACACAATATAAAGAAAATGATGTAAAATTTCTTATATCCTTATTCAAATCACGCCTTGCAGTTTTTTACTCTAAAATCATTGCAGACGTATATAGATAAAGGGTCAAAAAACAACATGTATGAATGACATTTAAGGAAAAAGAGATAACAGAAGAAAAGGGAAAAGGAGAGGTGGAGAATTTATTATATCATCTAAATATATGAAGCCCTTCTAAAGGGTCAATGCAGACATACTGCACCCAGATAAACAGAAGAAATGACATTATATTCTATATCTCTTATGTTAGCAATTTTAAAATTCTTGAGTCAGAAGCGTTAAACACTGGAATGACTAAGGTTACATTTGTTATGGAAATTTCTTAAATTTAGAAAGACCTCATACACACACCTGAAGGTAAAAAAAAATGTACTTAATCAGTGGGTTGCAACCAAGTTACTTGTCAGAATCACCTGTAAACCTTGAAAAAATATGGATTCTCAAACTTACCTTATCAGAATCCCTGGGTGCTGAGTCCAAGATCCACCCCAACAGATTTTGATGTAGCCAGGACACAGAGTTTTTTTCTACCATAATGGGAGAGGTAGGGAGGAGGATCACTAGGAATGGCAACACAGAGTGGGAACTAGATCAATGCAAATTTTGTGGGCAAAATAGAATTTCTGTGGGTGTGATATTTTTAAGATGTATTGTAAGGCTGCTCTGAACCATCCAAGCATATCCCACTGAATTTAAACATTCTCTAAAGGTCTTGAAGTCAGCAACTACAATCCAGGTGAACCAAAAGTTGCTCCTCTATGTCATAGAAGCCTACAGGAGAGGCAGTAGGGTGGGAATGGAGCAGAGAGATCCCAAGAAGTTATGGGTAAATATTTTTTAAATCTAAACATTCAGAAAAATAAGAGAGACTAGGAATCACTCTTCTCCTCCTCTCCACCACACCAAAAAAAAAGGAATAATAAGAAAGTGAAAGGAAAAATAGTTTTAGGTTAAATTTCATCACCATCTGAAAGAAAATTACTCCGATTTTGTTTAAGCAAGAGAAGAATTCAGCTGAGAAATTATCTAGCAGGCAGCAAAATCAGGGAGTCACTTCCCATTGCAAAGCAAAAGAAAACAAGGAGCAAGAGGATGGTCCTGGATAGCTGTTTAGACAATCAGACATACTGCTAACATCTCCTTGCCTTAGAAACTCCGTGATGTTTAAATTAACAATTGGCCACAAGCCAAACACAGGAACACTCAAAAGTTTAGAAGGGTGTGCTGTAATTGGTACCTTAGCAAAACACAATAATAAATTAGGAGGATTCAAGAAGCCTTCACTGTAGACTCTAAGAAGATTTAAGATTTGTACCAAGAAACGGCTTCTAAATCTCTTCTACTGCATTAGTTTAGCATCTAAAGAACACCTGTCTAAAAATCAAAATATCTAAATCCTATCCTTTGAGTCAACTTGACTAACACTCAACTTGACTACCTAAAAGCTAGCTAATAATCGCAGCACCTCAGCAGAGCAGAGGTGGAGGGCATAGTTTTATGCACTGAGATCCTATAATAAAAGAAGCCCTATGTGTCAGAGTAATCCCATTTCTGACATATTATTTAATACTTAATTTTTCAAATCACTTTACAATCATATTTATTATTCCCTACAATTCTCTAAAGCAGGTTATTCCTTTAGTCCTGCTTCATAGGTGAGGAGACTACATATCAAGAAGATTAAGTTATTTACCAAAACAAGTTAATGATAGACCAAGGATTATTACCCTCAGACTGTCTCATTGATTATACTCCTCTCTATCCTAAAGCTACACTTAAAGCTTTCACTCAAAGAAAAAGGAAAAGCAAAAACACCATCATATATGCTCTTTATTAAATGCTTCAGAAACAACAGCTCTGCTTCATCACTACAAAGCCTCCTGGTCCACTTCTGAAATTCTTAGTGACCTAGACGTGTACGAAATTTGAACTTTCCAAGAAGTATCTAGTTGGTGCTGAACAACCCAGTACTATTTTCGGGTGATAAATAACCTTGTTCTCTTTTTAAACATCTGCGATTGACATGTCGACTGACTGTTAACAATGAACAAAGACCATATTTTTCTGAAGCTCATCATCTTCCTAACCTTTTCTTTGAAAACAGATGTAGTTCATGTACTAGTTTTTTGGTGAAGGTAAAAATCTTTATTCAGATTAGGCTCAGAAAAAGAAGGGGCTGCTTTCCGTTCAACAAATATGCACAAGACAGCATCCCACTGGGAGCATCAATCTCAGAAGCAGTAAAACACAGCCTCGGCCCTGAAAGGACTTTCTGAACACCTTTGGAGTGTCATCCGTTTAATATACATTATTTTAATTAATCCTATTAGCTGGATAATTTCTTTCCCATTTTATTGGTGAGTTCATATAGCAGAGCTGGATTTGAATACAGGATTACAGAGCAGGGCTCCAAAGCCCAAGTTATTTCCACTAAAGGGTCTGAAGAAATGTAGAATCTAAAAGTGTGGGTGGGATGGGGAAGATATGATTTGATTCCCTTTCCTTGGTCCAACCGTGTTAGAAACATCCAACCATAAAGAAGCTTTCTAAGGAAGCCCTTTGAATTAACGTATCCACTTTTTCTCACCCGCCCGTGCCCCACCCCCAGCCATGCCAAAGGAGCAGCAAATGCTGCTGCCAGGTTGGAGGAATTGGTGATCGTCACACCACATTCCTGGGTCTGGACACAGCCTGAAACAGCAGCAGAGCTCCGCGCCTCGGAAAGAATAACAGCAGTTGAGATTTTTAAATCATGTGCCTCAGCATGCAGCCACACCAGTTGCCCTACTTCTCCTGCCTCCACCTTTCAAAGACGCGAGCAGCACACACGGCTCCCCCGGACTTTCGGTGGGGTTGGAGTGTCAAAACTCAGGCGCGCCGCAAAACCCCGTCCCCATCCAAACCAAGCCCACACACCCGGCCCATGTGCCGCCCCCTGGCAAAGGCGAGGCTGGCTGCGAAGCTGCAGGCCGTTTGGCTTGGCGGCCCTGCCCCCGCTCTCCACGCCAGAATCTGGCATTCCTTCGCTCAGCCCCTCCGAGGCCCGCCGTCGGCTCTCGCTCGACCCCAAGAAACGCGGAACCTGAAGGGCAAAACTGCCCACCTCCCTGCACCCTGGCACTACGAAAAAGGAGTTTCTGAGACTTGCTGCCGGCCTCCCTCCTGCCGAGGAGGCGTGTGAGGGGTCCCGGGCCGCGGGGAGCAGAGGCGGCGGGGAACCCCAGCGGTTGGCGGGGCACCACGGGAGGGGCCCCCGGCGATGTCCAAACTCTTGGGAACCCAGCGAGTGGCCTCACTCCGCGCCGGCGGCCGAGCCTGGCCTTCCCACACAGAGAAGGACTGAGGGGGAGAAGGGTCGCCCCAGGTGGCAGCCCCGGGCGCCGCGGACAGCGCCCCTCAGCCCGATACTCACCATGCGCGGGGGCCGCCCAGCACAGCCAGAGCGCCAGCAGCGCCCACAGCAGAGCGGGACGCAGGGCGGGCATCTTCTCGGTCGCCTCCTCCTCCTCCTCCGCCGCCGCCGCCGCCGCCGCCTGGGCAGATCCACATGGGGAGGGGGTCCCGATAGAGGAGCCCCACTCTCTCCTCCCCTCCTCCTGCTTCAAAGGCTCAGGCCCTGGCGCTACGCTCCGAAGCCCAGGTGCAAATGCCTCGACTCCCCGCGCCCCGAGTCCGCCGCTCCTCGGCCGCCGCCTCAGCCGCCGCCGGAAGTTTGGCTGAAACTTTCTCGGGTGTGCAGCGAGGCAGCCTCGTGTGTCCTTCCGCCTCAGCCGCCTCCTCCCACCGCAAGCCCCGCCCCACTGTCGCCGCGGCCTCGGCCCCGCCGCCTTGGGCACCCAGGGGTTTCCCGCAGGAAGAAGCGCCGGCCCGAGCTCCGCGCGGAGGGATCTATACGAGTCACTGGCCCCGTCCGCATCCTTCTCCAGCGGCCCCGGGGGCCGCCGCGCCTTAACTCGATCAGGGCTGCAGCGGCTCGCTGGCTTGACCAGTGCAGAAGGGGCGTGGGGGTGAGGGGGGTGGGGTAGGACTCTGAACTTCAAGCACTGGAGTTTGCCGGGATCGTGAACTTGCAGGGAGAGGCGGTCCTCATCCAGTGAGGTCTGTATCGCCACCTACACCCACACATCCACACACTGCTTTGCTAGCTAGAGGAATGCTCTGGAGTAGGACCAGTGCTGTCAAAGAAGGAAAGTGGGCCAAGGCGCCAAAGTCCATTAAAAAGGAATAGAGCCATTACGGAGTGGTGCTGCCCCATTCATTCATTCATTTGTTCATCCGTGTAGCGAATATTTCTTAAGTGCCTTACTTTGCGTAGCTGTGTGCTTGGCAGTGGGATGATACCAAAGATGCACAAGCAACTTTGAGTACCAAGACTTTGCCGCTGTGGGCTGGGGGATTCAGGGAAGGCTTTCCCAGAGGAGCTGGGATGAAAGCGGGATCTTGAAAGGTCAGTAAAATTTGTATAAGACAAGGAGACCAGCTAAGCTAAGGATATTCGTTGTAACACTGTAATAGCAAAACCTTGAAAACAACATAAATGCCCACCCTTAGAGGAATGGATGAATAATGTATGGTATATTTATAAAATGAAATGCAACACAGTAATTGAAAAGACTATAGCTATTTATGTCAATAGGAATAAATCTTAAAAACTAAATGATAGTGAAAAAACTAATCACAGAGGGAGACAAAGTATACCATTTGTGTATATTTTTTTCAAGACAATACTACACATTATCTGTGGATGCATATATATAGATATAGATATTAAGAGACTATAACCAGAATAGTAGTTACTTCCAGGGCAGGAGAGTAGGGGGTGTGATCAAACCTGGGTACAAGTGGGCTTCTAAGAAAAGAGCTAAAAGTAAGAACAGCAACAATAGTTGTATGGACATATCATTCCAGGAAAGAGCCCTCGTGAAAGCAAAGGTACAGTCAAAAGAGTAAGTAAATGAGTTCTGTCTCTGTTAGCAGTGAGAGGAGTCAAGGACGGAAAGGGGGTTGGGACCAAATTATGCAGCCTTGAATGGCAAGCTGAAAGGGTGGGGAGGCAGCTACCTCTTAGGTCACATAAAACTATTGAAAGTTTTTGAACAGAGTTGAGATTGATGGAAAGGAAGATTGCTCTGATAATTCTGTAGAAAATTGATTGTTGGGAGCAAGAGGTGAACTGGAGCCCCAGGACCAGTCAAGAGTTGGTGAACAGTCCAGGCACAAATTTAAGAAGACCTGAACTAATAAGGTAGATTTCAGAAGGAATGAATCCGAGACAATGTTAAAGAAACAGAAAAAAAAAAAAATGGAGGTGTGACTAATTGGATGTGGGAGTTTACAATCCTGTTGGGATGGGAAATCCTACCCATAGAACCTCTCCCTGACTCCTATAGGATAAAATTCAAACTTCTAAACATGGTACATACAAGGCCTTTTCGTCATTGGGCCCCATCTCCTGTCCTCCCTGCCCCTGTTGTGAACTTCACACAATAACAGTATTGACTAACTTGAGATTCCCCCAAACATATCTTGCTGTTTCTGTCCCTGTATCTTTTGTTCCTTTGGCTTGGAATGACTCCTGTAGTCCCCTTCCCTCCTCCTCTTAATGAACTTCTAATCATAATTCATCCTTCAGTCCAAAGAAGGCTTTGCCGACACCACAATAAATTCCTCCCTCTAACAGACAGTCCCTCCACTGTCTTCCACTGCCGCTTCTTTATCTTAACACCGATACTTATTTTTCACACAGGACTCTTTGTATTTCTGTGTTCTCAACTAAGTTTTGAGGTCCTCATGGGCAAAGACCACAGCCTATTAATCCCCAGTGTCTATCACATAATAGATGTTGAACTAGAATGTAAAACAACACTAAGCAAGTACAAGTCAGTATGGGCATAGACCTATGAAGTTCCAAAACTGCATGTTAACAAGCACTTTAGGTAAGCAAGTACCATTAGTGAAAGTAGTCACATTGAAATACTGGAAACCCTTTTCAAAAATAACGTAGTCAAAATATTTTTGGAATTTGTCTTGTGCAAGTATGTTCAGAGAAAGATAACATTATTTTTCAGTTGTTTACCCACAGTGTTACCAGTTCGATCTTCCTCTTTACTCACTAAAGATAATTCATAGTGACTTGGCTGCATACAAATTTTAAAAATCACCTGCAAAGATAAGTTTTGTCACTATTAAAATATATTCAGAAGAATATAAGATAGTTATCCCCAAAGAGCAACTCTAGAAGCGACTGTAGCTATGACAACATTATTAAAATAAATGTGCAGGCCAGGTGTGGCGGCTTATGTCATAAGCCCAGCACTTTGGGAAGCTGAGGTGGGCAGATCACCTGAGGTCAGGAGTTTGAGACCAGCCTGGCCAACATGTTGAAAACCCGTCTCTACTAAAAATACCAAAAATTAGCCGGGCATGGTGGCGAGCACCTGTAATCCCAGCTACTCAGGAGACTGAGGCAGTAGAATCACTTGAACCCAGGAGGCAGAGATTGCAGTGAGCCAAGATCGTGCCACTGTACTCCAGCCTGGACAACAAGAGTGAAACTCCGTCTCAAAAAAAAAAAAAAAAAAAAAAATAGGTATTCAGTTTCTCAAAGTAACCGTTTTAAAGAAAGCAGCTATTATGTTCACATATAACTTTTGTTGAATGTGTTACAATATGAAAACTTACTGCATACATTCTGGTAAGGACAAGAGAAGTAAAGAGTAAATATGAATGGAAGTAAGGGAAAAATATGACTGAAGACATTTTTTAAAGATAAGTTTTAATGATAGAAAAATATGAATAAGGGCTACCAATTGTTTTAGTTTTAATCAAAACTAAAAATATACATCTATGTCTTTACTGATTTAAACTCACATAAAACTGCCTTCCAAAATAAATGCAGAATTGGGCACTTATTTGTTCTCATGTCTGTCCTCTCAGAGCCGATAAGCTGTAAAAAAACTCTCAAAATAAAACTCTGTTTTATTTTCTGTTTTGCCTCGGTTTCTATCACATAAGTGCTCAATAATATATGTTTTACATAAATGCTGAATGAGGAACATATATATCTATATAAACTGGGGAGCAATGCAAGACTGGAAGAATGTCTTGGTGTGTTGGAGAAGTTGAAGAAGAGATTGTGGGATAGCTATGACACATAGATTGAGCTACACCACGAATCTCTCCATGTAACCCAGGAACCCAAGGATATGTGATGAGATGTTTGTGGAAGCAGGAATTAAAAGGAAGATTTCTTTTAATAATGCCTTGCAGTTGCGCAGTGATTTAGACCTTCCAAAAACACTTTTAATTATATTATCTCATTTGATCCTCAAAACAATCGTGGGAAATAGGCACCCCAGTCATTATTATACCCATTTTGCAGATGAAGAAACTGAGATAGAGCTTTAAGTATCTTGCCCAAGGTTAAATAAGTAATTAGTGAGCTGAGACAAACCCCCCACTATTTCTGTCCTCTTACTCAGTCTCACTCCACTGTACCTTTGTGCAACAATGTGAAGCACATCCAAGATGATATTTAGTGTGGGGACCTCTGTGTAGAGGGACACCAGCTTCTTGTCACTTCCATGTTAGCACAGAACAAGCTGACCCACTGTAACTAGGAAACATAAACAAGTGAATACATTCTTTTAATTTAAAATTTTTTTGAGAGCCTGTTCTCTACAAAGCACATACTAGGCTCTGCGGCAATGCAGAAATAAATAAAACCCAGTCCCTGTTCTTTGGAGATCACAGAGCAGTGAGGCAGGCCAACATACAAATAACATAACTACAACAGAGATAAAGCACAGGGATATGGGAAAGTAGAGAGCACTGGGATTAATTTTGAGTCCACTTTCCCCTCATCCAGTCCCCATCCTGAAAGATATGAACTGTGGTGGCCCACACAGCTGGACTGTAAGCCATGTGACAAGAGTCATTTCTTACCCCTTATTCATGTTTGTAAACTCCACAGTAGTTGGTTCTTTGCCTTGCACAGAGTATGTGCTCAATAAAGACCTACTTTCTGAAAGGTTCACAGAGTTCAGCCAAACACAGGACAAGTTCTAGAAGGCAAGAAGTTAACCTCAAGATTCAAACTAGCTCTGAGAATTAAGAACCAGCCAGACCCTTCCACTGAGCCTGGACCCAATTAATTACCTCTGCTCTAATTAAGGGAATCAGTAATGTAAGTAATTGTAATATGGGCGATATAGTTTGCCTGTGTCCCCACCCAATATCTTATTTTGAATTGTAATCCCCATGTGTCAAGGGAGAGACCAGGTGGAGGTAATTGAATCATGGGGGCGGTTTCTCCCATGCTGTTCTCCTGATAATGAGTGAGTTCACGAGATCTGATGGTTTTATGTGTTTGGTAGTTCCTCCTGCATTAATTTTCCTTCATGCTGCCTTATGAAGAAGGTACCTTGCTTCCCCTTTGCCTTCTGCCATGATTGTTAAGTTTCCTGAGGCCTTCCCAGCCATGCTAAACTGTGAGTCAGTTAACCTGTTTCCTTTATAAATTACCCAGTCTTGGGCAGTTCTTTACAGCACTGTGAAGACAGACTAATACAGTGGGCTTGTTGACATAGTTTTTCCCTTTTATGAATGTGATTATCTCAATTTTATTGATGTTAAGGAAGGACACAGTGGCCCACACCTGTAATCCCAACACTTTGGGAGTCCAAGGCAGAAGGATGGCTTGAGCCCAGGAGTTCAAGACCAGCCTGGGCCACAGAGTGAGACCCTGTCTCTACAAAAAATTAAAAAACTAACTGGGCATGATGATGCATGTCTCTAGTCCCAGCTACTCGGGAGGCTGAGGTGGGAGGACCACTTGATCCCAGGAGGTTGAGGCTGCAGTGAACCATGTTACCACTGCTGCATTTCAGCTCGGGTGACAGAGCAAGACCCTGTCAAAAAAAAAAAAAAAAAACTTACCTAGAAATTTCACATCTTCTGCTATGCTTCAGATAAGCAGGAAAATTCATATAGGAATGCTCACTGTATCACTCCCTTAAAATCTTCTTTTAAGCATTTTATGCTAGGAGGTATTACACTTCAATTCCTAAGTAGGTGTGTACTTTTTGTATATAATGATGTATGAAAGGGTTGACCTGTATGCATCAAGATGTCTCCCCAATTTAACAGTATCATAAATTCACAACTGTGTAATTATCAAACCACAGTATTATTGGATGAGTCTCAGTGCTTTAGTCACTAAAATGGTTATGCAATTTTGAATATTTATTGGCGTTGTTCTCAGGGACTGTTGAATTGTTTTTACTCACATTCTTATATTCTTCCTTCATGATTAGCCAAGACATTCTTGACAGCAAGATTCAGGCATACAGAAAGTTTCTACTTCAAAATATGGAAAATCTTCTTACCATCTAGGTGCAGATCATATCTAAGTCCCCTGAAGAAAAAGAAAATGGAAACTTTTCTTACTAAGTGGAATTCAAAATGGTTAACTAAGTATGAGAGAGGGGACATCAAAAGTAAGGAAGAGAAATCCCATTATAAAAAGTGTGCACAGGCCAGGCACAATGATTCACACCTGTAATCCCAGCACTTTGGGAGGCCAAGACGGGAGGATTGCTTGAGGCTAGGAGTTCAAGACCAGCCTGGGCAACATGTTGAAACCCTAACTCTACAAAAAATACAAAAATTAGCTGGGCATGGTGGTGCACGCCTATGGTCCCAGCCACTCAGGAGTCTGAGGTGGAAGAATCACCTGTGCCTGAGAAGTCAAGACTGCAGTAAGCCATGATCACACCACTCCACCACTCCAGTCTGGGTGACAAAGTGAGACCCTGTCTCCAAAAAAAAAAAAAAAAAAAATGCATTAAAAATCTCCTTCTAAGTAAGTAATTCATTGGGAGATAATTAATGGCTGGAAACAGGTATTTATAATGGAAGCATACATGGCCTTAACGATAGGTTTTGCTTCTGAAAACACTCTAATTAAAAAGGGGAAGAGTAATTTTATAGGAAAGTACAAATCAGTGGTGTGTATGTCTACCAGTGTGTGCAAAGAGACAGAGGTGGTAATTGCTGGACTCAGACCAGGTATCAGCAACAACTAAACATAATGACCTTATAAATATGCAGATAGGATTTCTGACAAAGCTAAAAGTACATCATTATTATTATTCATCAATGTGGAATGGAATGTGAAATTGGAATCAGCAGGTGAGGGGTGGTTGTACCTGAATATCCTGGATACCAACTTGTTTTTGTTTTTAATCATTCTAATCTCTGTTAAGAATAATGTCACATGACTACTTTATCCTCTTTCTCAGACCACTGATCCAACCATTTTTCTTTCACACTTTTGCCTCCTTTCCTCTTATAACAGGTACTAACAGTCTAAGCAGAAAAAGAAGAACAGATGGTGGTAAGACCTAGAATGTTTACCCCATTAAGATCTATATCTGAATCCAGAAGGAACACCTCATTGCCGAGAAGAGCCCTGCAGACAGTTCACACCTCTGTTTCTTTTGCAAGATATAGCTACCTCAAAAAATCCTTTCTTGATCAAACTCTTATGGCCTGGAATCCTTGCGTTTCTGCTGATGACTGTCATTTTAGAGTACTTACTAAAGACAATGGTTGGGGAAATAGATATTTTAAAAATAAGGGAAGAAGTGGGTAGGGTAAACCCAGGCTTACTTATGTAAACTCTGAGTGCTGAAGTTAGAAGACAACCTTTAAGATTAAAAAAACAAACAAACAAAAAAAAAAACGGCAAAGTTAGAACACACAAAAGATAGTATAGTTCCTTACCCATCCACCACTTGGTTTTGAGGAGAAAAGGGAAATAAGAAGAGTTGAAGAGAAGAAAAACAGAACAGAAGAGTGGGAAAGGAAGATGAAAGGGTGCTCTGGAGTACTATGCACCTGTTTAGAAGTGGGGAAGTAGCACAAACACTAGCAAAAGAAGAACCACCATGGAGTTCCTCCTTGCACATCTCTCTCCCCTCCTGAAGGCCTAGGGTGAGCCCACAGCATTGTTCCAGCAGTGAGGGAGTCTTCACTGCCCCCTGAGACTCTCTCACGGCTCTTAAGATACCTCCCTGAAGTCCCTCCAAAGAATTCAATGTGCCCCTAGTCTAAATCAGTTTCCTCCATCATAAATACTCATAGATGACGCAACAATAAAACGTTAATAACGATAATGGCAATTTTGTGTGTCAAACATTGTATTAAGCACTTTACCTGCTTTATTGTTTGTAATGCTTCAACAGCTTATGAGTAGGTATTATTATTTCTACTTTACAGTGCAGAAAATGAAACCTGAGTAAGTTGTCTTAGATCACACAGCTGCTAAGCAGTGGCACAGGGATTTAAGCCCAGGTCCATCTGATCAACTCCGATGGCACATAATTGACCTCTGCATTGTCCCGCCTGCCCACAGGTCACTGCCTCAGTGATCCAGTCCCATCCGTTGTTTAGATAACTGAATAAGTTATCCTCGAATCATTTATTGTAAGCCTAGTCTCTCAAGTTTACTGTGAGTCAAGGGCTAGGTCATATACCTCTTTTGTGCTCTTCTATATCGTGGCATCCAACCTCTTGCTTGTCAGCTTCCAACTCTGGTTCAACTTAAGGACTTCTTTTCCTGGCATCTGCCCCTTATATGGGAGGTGTTCATACAATTCTACTGATTGTTTTCACCTTACAACTTTTTATTTTGAAATACTCTCTTCTAAGTGTTCCTAGTAAATTTTTTAAAGCCAGCAAGGAAAAAAAATTCTATTTATTGCCAACTAATTATAAACATTAAAACATCAATTTAAAATTTAAAGGAAAAATGACCTATAATACCACCACTAATAGCATTTTCATGTGTTTTATTCATTTGTTCTTCATATGTATGTTCTTACAGAGTTGTAATCAAGACATACATATAGTTTTGTTTTGTTTTGTTTTGTTTTGTTTTTTTAAGATGGAGTCTTGCTCTGTCGCCCAGGCTGGAGTGCAGTGGTGCGATCTCGGCTCACTGCAACCCCCACCTCCCAGGTTCAAGTGACTCTCCTGCCTCAGCCTCCCTAGTAACTGGGATTACAGGCGCACGTGACTATGCCTGGCTAATTTTTGTATTTTTAGTAGAGACAGGGTTTCACCATGTTGACCAGGCTGGTCTCGAACTCCTGACCTTAGGTGATCCACCTGCCTTGGCCTCCCAAAGTGCTGGGATTACAGGCATGAGCCACCATACCTGGCCGACATACATATAGTTTTTATCCAGATTTCTTAGGCAATTCATATACCATAAATATTTTCCTTTGTTGTACATAGTTGCCATACATAGCATTGTTATTGTCTGCAAAATATTCCAGCCTTAATTAATATATAGAGCTAGAATACTTTCTATATTAGTATTGGGATCTGTATCCAGAAGTTGTCCATCTTATTTCAAAGACAGCCTTTGGGGACAATCCCTCCATACTTCTTTTATTGCCAATCACAATTGGATGAATAAGTGGACTCTTTCTTTGTCTTGAATCAGGGAGATGGATCAGCCCAAAAGAATCCCCTGCTGTTGTTCTCCAATCCCCTCCCTAGCATTTACAAGTCTTCACCTCTCTGCTGTAACCTCTTTCCTTCTTTCTGTTCCCCATTTTCTTCCCAGCAAAAGGCTTCACTTCCTACTTCACTAAAGACATCTCCTAGTTCAAATATCACCTCCCCTGCAAAACCTTCCCTAGCCCTCACCATTTCTACACTGACAGGCCATCTAAGGACTCCCTACCATCTCCCATCTCAACCTCACAACTCATCACTTATGTACCCACCTTTACTTCCTTGTGTTGTATCTCAGAAAAAAAGAGTCTTTCCTTCTTTCAATGCTAATTCTTCAGCATTGGCCATTGATTTAATTCCCTTCTGCCTTCTCCAGGACCATTTTGCATTCAATACCCACTGATTCCCACTGTCTCATCATTCATCTTTCCCTCTCTACTGGCTTAATCCCTCAGCCAACAGTTTTCTTCCAGACACACACACACACACACACACACACACACACACACACACACACACACATTTTCTATTGTATTTCTATTTCAAATTCATCTTTCACTTCCAAACCTCTTAAAACAGTGGTTTGTCCCTTGCTGTTTTTATTTCTGCAATTTATTACAGCTTCCTCTTCTTACATTTATTGAGCACTTAAGATGTAAAAACAATATGGAAATAGAGATCGATAAAGCAGTCCCTACTCCCGAAGAGCTTCTAGTTAGTAGGGAAGATAGTAAACCAAATCAACACAACAAATAAAATACATTTTATGACATAAATATGTGCACAAGTATCCATGGGGGGCTGCCTGGAGGAAATTGGAGAGACTTCCTAGGGAGGTGACATTTGAGTTAGGCCTTGAACAATGAGTTCAATATTACCAGGCAGAGACTGTACATATATTGCACATGACTGACAGGAACAATTTATGCAGATAACTGAGAAACCATATTAATGATTACTTAGGAAATATCAAATAATTCAGGTGTCATCAGAGTAAGGAACATCTGGGGAAGAGATGAAGAGTCATTTAGGCTAGTTGTTCTCAAACTTTAGCATTTATCAGAATCATCCAGAAGACTTGTAAAAATGCCAATTGCTAGGCTTCATTCCCAAAGTTTTGAAAGGGATGTGGGTTGAGCCAGATAATTTACATTTATAACATTCTCAAGTGATGCCAGTGCTGCTGATCTAGGGACCACACTTTGAGAACCACTGGCTTAGTAATCCAGCTTCTGCTTCAGTCGTTATAGTGAAATTACTTTTAGATGTCACCAAAGATCTCCAACTGTCAAATGCAATGAACTCATTCTCAGTCTTCATTTTCCTTGATGAGTTTGCAGCATTTGACATCATTGGCAATTTCAGTGAGCTCTTAACTGTCTCCCAGCTTTTAGCCTCTCTTTTAGTCCATTCAGTACTCTGAAGCCCACAGGATTGTCCAAAATACAAGTATAAACCCATCACTTCATACTTAAAACTCACCAATGGCTCCCCATTCTCTACAGTTACAGCCCAAACTGGACAGATGGCATGGAAAATCGTTGGCATTCTGACCACATTTACCTCTCCCCCTGCTGCTGCCCAGGATTGCATAGCCTTTGTTCCAGGCACATCAAGCTACCAGCCAGTCCCCAGACATGCTGGGGGCTCATGTCCTCTTCACCTTCATATGTGCACTTCCCTTTGCCTATAATGCCCTTGCTGCCTCCCCTCCCCTATCCCATCCTCCCCTGGATCCATAGTGATATAGTGGACCCATAGTGATATATGGTTTGGATGTGTGTCCCCTCCAAATCTCATGTTGAAATGTGATCCCCAATGTTGGAAGTGGGGCCCAATGGGAGGTGTTGGATCTTGAGGGCAGATCCCTCATGGATGGCTTAGCGCCATCCCCTTGGTGATAAGCAAGTTCTCACTCTTTTATTTCACAGTAGACCTGGTTGTTTACAAGGAGCCTGACACCCCCCCCCCCGTCTTGCTCCGTCTCTTGCCATATGACACACTGGCTCCCCTTTGCCTTCCAGCATGAATGTAAGCTTCCCAAGGCCCTCACCAGAAGCAGATGCCAGCACTCTGCTTCACCTACAGCCTGCAGAACTGTGAGCCAAACATACCTCTTTTTTTCTTTTTTTCTTTTTTTTCGTGACAAATTCTTGCTCTGTTTCCCAGTCTGGAGTGCCCTGGTGCAAGCTCCGCTCACTGCAACCTCTGCCTCCCAGGTTCAAACAATTCTCATCCCTCAGCCTCCTGGGTAAGTGGGATTACAGGCTTGTGCCACCACACCCAGCTAATTTTTCTATGTTTAGTAGAGACAGGCTCTTGCCATGTTGGGGAGGCTGGTCTCAAACTCCTGACCTCAAGTGATCCACCCGCTTCAGCCTCCCAAAGTTCTGGGATAATAGATGTGAGCCACCAGTCCTGGCCAAAATAAACCCCTTTTCCCCTTAAATTACCCAGTCTCAGGTATTCCTTTATAGCAATGCAAAATGGACCAACACCTATGGAATTTTGGGTGAAGGCCTAGCTCCAATGTCATCTTCTCTCCAAAGCCTTCCTCAGCTTCCTGGCTCCTTTCCCTGAGGTCCTCCACGGTTGGTTTCTATGTATTATATATACCACTTAACAACTAGTTGAACATGTGATTACTATATGGGGACTTGCTTCAGTCTCTGAATCTTACTCTGAATCTATCTTGTTATTTTTGTTATTCTCATAAAAGGCTTTCAATATAGGTGTATTGAATGAATGTTGGGAACATAGTACACATTTGATAAATAATGATTTGAATAGGCACTTGCTGCTTACCCAGTGGAACAGGCAAGCAGGCAAAGAGGAGGAGGAGGACACAAAGAGAAACTATGTTAATGAGCAAGAATCAAATGTGCCACCTCACAGCCTCCTGACTCCCTGCCTTAGAGGGTGAACCACAGGCTATTTCCCATGATTCCCTCTTCTTTGATGACACAGTGATTTGTTAGCTCTGTGGACTGGAGAGTTATGCAGCTGCCTTTCTCGCTTTCAACAAGGTACTTGCTGGAGGACTTATCCAAAGCTGAGAAGCAACACCTGTGGGGACTGGGCAGGAAACACTTTAGTAGTTTGTCTTGGTGCATGCACCACAAGCAGACAGCCATTTGCCTTCCATTTAGTTTCTGCAACTGAAGGAATACTGGGGGATTCTCTGCCGTCAGGAAGAAGAGAGCCGCCCCCCCCCACCATCCATTCTTCCTCTCTCTCTCTCTTCCTTAGTCTTACCCCTGCACATTCTGATTGTTGTGGTGACCAGATCCTGCGGAAATAAAACAGGCCTGAGTTCCTATGTGGCTGGGCTGTATCCTCCTCCTTCTCTAATAAAGCTATGACGTTAAGGAAGCCCTATCAACTGATGAGCTCAGAATGCCCATGCCTTTTGTCACCTAGCCTTTCCCCATCTCTGTGCAAATGGCTACTAGAACAGCCATTTATAAAGTGACAACTATGTGTTGGGTGTTTTGCATACATGATCTCATTAGATCCATACAACATTCCTGCAAGAAAGATATCTTTATCTCCATTTAACAAATAAAGATACTGATGCTCAAAGAAGTCAAATAACTTATCCAATGTTGACAAGCTAACAAGTGGTAGGGGTCAGATTTGAACCTATGTTGCAACCATTTTAGAGTCCTATATGTTTTCCATTATTTATATCATCTTGGAGAACTAAAAAAGGTGAAAGTTACAGAGTCAGCCAATGTCATAGCAGGAATTAAATTCAAGGTGTTCTGATTTCCAGGGCAGCTTACAAATATCCACCATATTGAAAGAACTGTTTGAATGGATATGTTTAATGTTCCAAGAATTTATGAAACTTAAAAATATATGTTGATACTACAGTTTGAAAAGGACCCAGAATTGGAAAAGCTGCTTGTTCATGAGTGTCCCTTGTCTCTACTGTCCTGTAGTCAGTGCCCCCTCAAAATTGGATGCATCTGAGTGGAGATGCTTTTCTGTCACCTAAAGTCACACATTTACCTTTGATCCAGACCCTCCCCAGAAGCAGTGCTTTTGAAATCTCTTCTCCTCTTCTTTTTGTTTGACAAAATATAAATGATAGTTTATTTCTAGAATGATGCCAAATTCAATAAAGCAATGATGGAGTTGTGTTTTGTTTTCTGGTCAAGTTGACACCATAAAGTGGGTTTTCCTGAATATTTCCCTGTTCCACTGGTGTTCTTGGCATTGTGAATAAACAGAGATGGTGATAACATCCATCATAGAGTTAAGCACATTGAGTGGGTGATAAAGTCAACAAGAAGCTGAAACAAGAATTACCACGGATAAGCTGCCAAGAGTTGGCTGTAGATTCTAAGTGGACACTGTGGCTCATTCATCTTCGCCCTTCAGCTTTCCACCCCAACATCATCCCTGCCTCAGCACTCATGACAAGAGTAGGAAAGTAGGAGAGAAGGAAAGCACAGGGATCAAGTACAGGGGACAAATACATAGCATTGATCTGCCTGAGATAAAATCTAAAGACGCAGTAGTAAATTCTTAATGAGTACTGAGAGAGAACAAAGAAAAATGTTGTGGGTTTTGTTGTTGTTGTTGTTGTTGTTGTTTTCTGAGACAGAGTCTCCCCCTGTCGCCCAGGTTGGAGTGCAGTGGAGCAATCTCGGCTCACTGCAAGCTCCGCCTCCCAGGTTCATGCCATTCTCCTGCCTCAGCCTCCCGAGTAGCTGGGACTACAGGCGCCCGTCAACACACCTGGCTAATTTTTTGTATTTTCAATAGAGGCGGGGTTTCACCATGTTAGCCAGGATGGTCTCGATCTCCTGACCTTGTGATCTGCCCACCTCGGCCTCCCAAAGTGCTGGTATTACAGGTGTGAGCCACCGCACCTGGCTGAAAAACACTTTTTAAGTCAAAATGAACCAACTAACAAACAAAAGTCATATTCCAGAAGTGCAAGTAGACACAAATGATCACTGGGCTTCTTTTAAGCAACATTCTGTTTTCTTGTCCTAACCTATCTCAAGCTAAGGAAATTCTAGGGTCTATTGTTCAAAGACTTGAAATGTTTTCCTTGGATTATTCCCACTCTTATATTTTTCTTGCCTCTTTCCAAAAGTGTGTTAAAAATGTCCAGGTTTTTTAACTCATTAAGATGCTCATCAAGCATCTTAATGAGTTAGTCACGATTACAACTGCATCTTTTAAATTACCCAAACTGTTGAAAGGCTGCCATGAAAGGAGCTTCTACAAACAAAATCTGGGCTGTATTTCTCATTATCTTATGTTGCAAAAAGTGAATGAGGAGTTACTTCCAAAACAGTAATTAGCATAAAGGCTGCTGAAGCAGAGGAGAGATAGGTGCGCTACTGTCTCAATGGAAAATGTCACTGTTTTTTCTGCAAGGAATATGTACATTACTACTAAAGGAGAAGCTCTTTGCTAACAAATGTGAAAGGGTTTCACACAGTTCATGGCACATAATAAGTGCTCATAATTTGTTTGCTTCATCGGAATTCTCTCTGTAGTCTACTTCTCAGTCAAATAACTGTGACTACCTCCATTTCCTCACAATCCATTCTCCTTATGTTCCTTCTGTTACAGGAATTGCAGCCTCATCACCTATCACAATATTTCTCAACCCTTTTCTTTTCATTATTGCCTTCCTAAGGAGGCTTTTCAGATGTTTTTAAAAATTGCTCTCCTCTATCAAATTTTGGTACCATAGTGTGATGGTTAATTTTGTGTGTCAACTTTAGCGGGCTACGGATTGCTGAGATCACTGGTAAAACATTATTTGTGGGTGTGTCTGGGAGGGTGTTCTTGGAAAAGGTTAGCATTTGAATTGGTAGAGTGAGTAAAAGATCACCCTTGGCAGTGTGAGTGGGCATCATGCAATCCCTTGAAGGCCTGAATAAAACAGAGAGGTGGAGGAAGCACAAGTTCACTCTCTCTTCTGGAGCTGGGACATCCATCTCCTCCTGCCCTTGGATATCAGTAGTGTTTCTGGTTTTGGGGCCTTTGGACTTGGACTGGGACTTACAGGATTGGCTCTCCTGGTTCTCAGGCCTTCTGGCTTGGACTGGAGTCATAATACACCACTAACTTTCCTGGGCTTCCAATTTGCAGACAGCTGATCATGGGACTTCACAGGTTCCATAATTGCATGAGCCAATCTCTCGTAATAAATCTATTTCTGTGTATCTATATATAATATATGCTATCAGTTCTGTTTCTCTGGAGAGCCCTAATACACGCAGATATATTGTGATATCAGTTTATGCATTGTATGTATATCTGCACTTTGTACATTTAAAAAATTAAGTTGTTTTTTATCCCCCAAGATCAATTCTCACTCCCATTGAGAATGTGCAACCTATCAGACCACAGCAGACTGATTCAGGACACAGCAGAAGCAGATCACAGAAATAGATGCTAGACAATTGATTTGGGCAAAAATCAGTGCAGATGTCCGGCATAGAAGTTTGTCTAGATCAGGCTTTGTAAAGGTAAAGACAGACAGTTGGCCATACAGGTTAGCCAAACAAGACACAGGTGGGAGAATACAGCTGACAGCAGTGTTGATGGAAGATAGGAGGGCAAGGTTCAAGGCAGGCAGAGATGTGAGAAATATTTGTCCACTGGGTCAGAGAATGCTTTATATAGAGAAATATCATCATCCAGAAAAGTTCCGTGAAAGAGAAATTATTCTCAGTTCTGAAGCCAGATTTAGACATTTTGCCTTTGTTCCTCAGGAGCCTGGACCACCCAGCCAACTGTGCCCTATTGATGAAAATCTCTGATTATTATAGGGGAATACATTATGTTGGCTTCTGTATTCCCTGAGAACCATCTACATCTCCTAGTACTTTGAAGTCGTGGTATCAGATGAAAGAACCAAGCCTTCCAAACTGACTTGGAGCTGTGCTGAGGTGTTCATGGCCTCAAGCATTCAAGCAGGTTGATCGGATATGAGGTGTGATATTCCTTTTCCTCAAGTCATTTATCCTCTGGAGATCCTAACCTAACCTAATCTCTCCTAACCTAAAAACAGGAGCAGACCCAGGGTCCTGACTGGGCATTCTCATTATGCTTCCTAAAACCATTAGGATCTCTTCGTGGTCACATCCAACAGCCTTTCTCTTTCTCAGGCCTGCAGCTCACTGCATGTGGTTCTGCCTCTCACATTCTCCTCTTTAATTAGAGGTCAGCCACTCTAACTCCAGCCTTCATCACACTCTGCCTCTAGGGTCTTCTGAATGCTGTCTTTGAGGGTCTTCTCAGTCTCTTCCTTCCTCTTTATCTTTTATCAAAGGCACTCTTTTAATCTTTTGGTTCCTTTCTGTTGCCCCTCCATTCTCATCTGTTTATATGTTCGCTTTAAGGTCATAAACATTATTGAGTGCTTGCTACATGCCTAGTACTGATATAAACAAGATATGGCTTTTGTGCATTCTTGTGATGGAACAGATATATATATAAAACCAAGCAAAACACAATGTGAAATATGTAATACAGATCTGTACAAAATGTCTTAGCAACTCAAAAGAGGAAGTGATGAATTCTGTCTTGAGAAAAATAAAAGGCATTGCAGAAGGAAAAAGTTTTGATTTGTGCTTTGAGAATGAATTAGGGATTTATGAAAAGAAAAGTTGGAGGAAGGGCATTACAGACAGAGAGATGAGGATGGGACAGGAACAGCATGACCAAGGAAGGTTAGAAAGGCCATGTGACTGGAGGGGAAGCAGACAAGCGTGGGCAGGGAGAGTGGTAGGCAACGACCCTGCAAAGTTAGGAATGCACCGCAACTGTAGTCACCATTTAAACCTACATGTCTAGTTAACATTCAAATGGATCATTGCACTGCCTGGGACATTCATTTTTAAAAAGTACAATTTAGCTCCTACTACTTGCTATATACCATGTAACATGCTTACTGCTGGTAATACAAAGATAAATAAGCTGTCCCCTCAAGAAATCAAAATATAATAGAGAGGTAGATGTGTTTTAAAAGTTATTATGTGCAATACAAGCCAACCCATGCAGTGAAGGTAGTATGTATATGACACAAAATAGAGAGTGATTAGCTCTGAGCAGAACATGTTTCAGAGAAAAAGTGATAGCAGAGCTTTAAGAGATTAATTGGGGTTGGGTGGTGCAGTAAGCAGAATAATGGCTTCTCAGAGATATCCACATCCCAAACTTGTAAATGTTACCGTACATGTCAATGAGGACTTTGCAGATATGACTACGTTTAAGGAAGATGGGAAGATTAGATTATTCAGACGAACCTGATGTAATCACAGGGGTCCCTATAGAAAAAGGAGGCAGGAGTGTCAGAGAAAGAGATGTGACAATGAGGGACCATCAGCCAAAACCAAAAACAAACAAAAAAAACAAAAACTGTGGTTAGAAGCTGGAAGAGGCAAAGAACAGTATCTCTCCTCCAGCTCCAGGAGGTATGAAGGTCTGCCAATGCTTTAATTTTAGCCTCATGAAATAGCCTCATTTCAGACTTCTGACCTCAAAAAGAGTAAGTTTGTGATAGTTTGTTATAGCAGCAACAGGAAATGAATACAGATGGAAAAGCAGCCAGGGTGTTGGGAGTGAGAGCATTTCAGGCAGAAGGAATAGCATAAGCAAAGGCACAGAGGCATGAAATAGCATGGCAAACCCTTGGGGCAGGGGTTACCAGTTGTTTAGTGTTGGTCTGGTTTAAGAACCACCAAGTAAGGAGCAGAAGAATGCACTGGCATGCAAAGCAAGTGCCAGATGACACAAGGCCTGGTAAGGAGCAGCCCTACCATGAAGCTTAGGTATGCTGAAGCTTAGAAGGTAAATCAGGAGCCATTTCATGGTTTCACACAAAAAAGGAAAAACACTGAATTTTCAATTTTGGAAGAAAAGCTTAATGGGGAAGAACCCAGGGCAGGGAGACCATTTAAGGAAGCTATAACAAAGTCCTGGAGGGACGTGGTGGGGCTTGAACTAAAGCAGTGTGAATAGCAGGAGAAGGCAGGGTAGCGATATTTAGGATTCAGAGAGTGACCAAATATGAGGAGCAAGAGAAAGAGAAGAGTCAAGGATGACCCCACATTTCTGATTTGGACTTTGGTGAATGTCCATGTGCTTACTGACATGGGAAAAAATGGAAGTTCCTCCCAATATTTCTTAGATTCATATTTTCTGAATCTCTGTATCCACTAGGCTAATCCACCCATCAACCTATGTCTAGACAGTCTTTAAAGTCTTCCTAGCCGCTTTTTCTGATTCTAGCCTTTACCCTTCTCAAGCTATTCTCCACGATGTTGTTAGAACAACTAATTCAATATTCATAAAATATTTATTTAGTGCCTGTCATGTTCCAGGTTCTGATATAGACTCTGTTCATATCATATGAACAAAACAATTTTAAGAATAAGTTAGCTTGCATTTAATCTAGAAGATCCTTATAGATGGTAATTTTGGGTAGTTCCATCTCCAATTCGTATCTTCTACAATGGCTTCAAATTTCCCGTCACTTTATATCTAAATTTTTTGGTGTATGCTCAAGCTCTCTTAGTGTTTAGTCATTTGGATTTGATCTTTTGCATGGCTCATAATTATTTTGTATTGGATCCCAGATATTGTATAAGACAAAATTGTAGACTCTGGATAATGTTACCTACCTCCATAGAGTTTCTACTTTCTACTCCTGGAAAGTAGAAAGAATAGTGGCAGATAACTTTGATCCTGAAAAGGCTTGGTTTCAAGCTTTGTTAGATCTATTTTATTTCAGTATTATATTGCTCTTACTCCAAGGATGTGCTGAGATCTCAACTGAAAACCCTGGGTATCTAGGTACCTTATCAAGGCTTGAAGTCCAACTTCTATTGGATGCTGAAATCTTCACTTACCTCATTAGACCCTAAACTGCTGTTTTCTGATTTTTTTTTTTTTTTTGGCATCTTTCTTTGTGCATGCTGAGTGTAGGAACTTAGATCACTATCATGATGGCAATTTGCATAGATTGTTGAGCTCCTCTGCAATTCTCCCCTCTTGGAGTTTGCCCTCAATCAGAGGCACTTTGGTAGCCCTCAACTTTGGCCTTTGATATGATTTGGCTCTGTGTTCCCACCCAAATCTCATGCTGTATTGTAATTCCCACTGCTGGGGGAGAGACCTGGTATTAGGTGATTGGATCATGGGGGCAGATTTCCCCCAGGCTATTCTCATGATAGTGAGAGTGAGTTCTCATGAGACCTGATGGTTTCAAAGTGTGTGGCACTTCCCGCCTCACTCTCTTTTTCCTGCTCCACCATGGTAAAACGTGCTTGCTTCCCCTTCACCTTCCACCATGCTTGTAAGTTTCCTGAGGCCTCCCAGTCATTCTTCCTGTTAAACCTGAAGAACTGTGAGTCAATTAAATCTCTTTTCTTCATAAATTATCCAATCTCAGGTAGTTCTTTATGGCAGTGTGAGAACAGACTAATACAGCCTCTTATTCCTCAGCCCAGAAAAACTGCTGTATTTTTTTTTTTTTGGCTTTTATTGTCTTGCACTTAGTTTTGAGCATTCCCTCAGGAGAAATATTCCAGGGTAAACACTGAGTTCACCTCATGTGCCTTCTCTCCAGGATCATAGCTTTAAGTTCCACCTGCTTTAGTTACTCTTCAATGCCTCCAAAGAATTATAGATATAGATATATAGATACTCCTAGGCTTATGATGGGGTTATATCCCAATAAACCTAAGTTGAAAATATTGTAAGTCAAAAATGCACTTAATACACCTAACCTACCAAACATCATAGCTTAACTTACCTTACCTTAAATGTGCTCAGAACACTTATGTTAGCCTACAGTTGGGCAAAATTATCTAATGCAAAGCCTATTTTACAATAAAGTGTTGATTATGTAATTTGTTGAATACTGTAGTGAAAATGAAAAATAGAGTGGTTGTATGGGTATTCAAAGTACAGTTTCTACTGAATGTTTATCACTTTCACACCATCATAAAGGCAAAAAAATTTAAGTCAAACTATTGTAAGTTGGGGACCATCCGTATATGTATAAAGTCATGTATTACTTAATGACAGGGATACATTCTGAGTAATGCATCATCAGACAATTTTATTGTTGTATGAACATTCAGAATATATTTACACAAACCTAGATGGTATAGCCTACTACACACCCAGCCTATTGCTCCTTGGCTGGAAACCTGTACAGCATGGTACTGTACTAAATATTGTGGGCAATTTTAACCTAATGGTAGGTATTTGTACATCTAAACTTGGAAAATGTATAGCAAGTCATATGCAACTGCATATGACCACCAGTTGCATATGCAGTCTGTCTTTGATCAAAACTTGGTTATGCATTGCATGACTATATATATATATATATATATATATATATACACACACACACATATAAATATATACAAATATGTAAATATTTATGTATATTTTATCCCACTTTCCCCCTGAAGTGGGAGGTTTAGTTTGATATATACTACTACATCTTGGCTGGAGTTGGAGGTCTCAGTACTTCATAGCAGTAATGAATGCTGTGGGTTTGCAGTAACTTCACTGAACTGTTTATCTGCCACAACTACAAAAGATGGCTTATTCTCTTTAAGTTATGGAGCCCTATTCCTTTTAATTTGTGTGTTAGATAAAATCTACCACGTATCTATGGGCAAAACCAAAGTCTGAATCTCTAAAATCTAAGGCCATAATCAAAACTAGGTAATTTATCAATCTAGAGTCATATAATGGGGATTCCTCTTCAGCCTGCGTTTGGATAAACTGCATGAACCCAAGAGTTTAGCCCTACCACTCAAGGCCATTGTTTTTAGTTGTGCAGGCTTCAGTGGGTAAGGTGCTATTTATGTAGGTTAAATGGTGGTTGAGTGCTCTGCAATGTGGTGGCCTTGATACCACAGGTTTTTTGTTTTTTTTTTTTCTTAGATCT
Source organism: Homo sapiens (assembly GCF_000001405.40). Classification (NCBI taxonomy): domain Eukaryota; kingdom Metazoa; phylum Chordata; class Mammalia; order Primates; family Hominidae; genus Homo; species Homo sapiens. Next base: position 313,683 of record NW_025791753.1, on the reverse strand, counting down.
GAATTCGTTTGTTGCGGGGAGAAAAACTAGGGGCAACTGATCTGGCATTGCCTACCTATGCCTGACATGAAATTCGCCAGGACCTCTGGGAGAATACCTCTAGTTAAGCAATAGGATTAGAAGCCTGATTGCAGAAAATTAGGAGGTAAAGAATGATTGGGAAGTCAGAAAGTGTGGACATCAAATGAACACAATATATTAAACAAATTGGATGTGAAGGGAAGTGAGAGATATGGTGATAGGTAGAGACGGAAGGACTTTGTTTTAAGAGTGAGGAGAGTTAAGCATGTTTGTGGGCTGGGGATGAAGCTAATGGAAAAGGAGAGGAAGAAGATACAAAACAATAAGAGATAATTAAGAATTTTCTGGTAGAGGTTGTTAGACAAAGAGCCCAGATAAGACAGATTGGACAAAGATAAGGAGAGGTAAAGATGAAGCTTAAGTTAGGAGGCTTAAAAGAAAGAATGGGCCAGGTGAGTGGCTCACGCCTGTAATCCTAGCAATTTGGGAGGCTGAGACGGGAGGATCACTTGAGGTCAGCAGTTCGAGACCAGCCTGGCCAACATGGCGAAACCCCATCTCTACTAAAAATACAAAAATTAGCCAGGCGTGGTGGCAGGTGCCTGTAATCCGAGCTGCTCAGGAGATTGAGGCAGGAGAATCGCTTGAACCCAGGAGGCAGAGCTTGCAGTAGGCCAAGATCATGCCACTGCACTCCAGCCTGCTGGGTGATAGAGTGAGAATCCGTCTCAAAAAAAAAAATCTATCTATCTATCTATCTATCTATAGAGAGAGAGAGAGAGGGAGAGAGTAAAAAAGTAGAATTAATGACTGGATGAGATGGGTAAAAGAGAAATAGGTCCCTGACAAATTCTAGGTTTGGGGATTGAGCAGCTGGGTAGATAGGGCTGGGGTTAAAACACAGAACTGAGCAACAGATTTGGAAGGATGAGCTGAGATGAATTCAGCTTTGTCTGCATTCAGTCAGTCAACAATAATAGCTGTTGCCTATGAACCTTGAGATCCACAGTGCCCAACTACAAAGACAAACATTGCTCCCCCTCCCCTGCTGAACTTATGCTATATGCAATAGTGTTGCAGAAACATTTTGCTTTGCTGGATACAAAAGCAAACTAGTCTCTGTTTTCAAGGACATATGTAGGATATAAGAACTGGATTTTCAGAATGAATATTTATGGGATAATTTATTTAACTGACCAACTTTAAAAAAAGGTTAAAACACTTTCTTGGTTTATGGTGGATACCAAGCTATATATGCTTTACTATGAGTTCATGGAAAACTGCAATCAGTCTCAACTGAAAGGAAAATGTAGGCTGTTTGGGAGAAAGTTTTTACAATTGAAAAACTCAAGGGAAAATTGAAAGGAAAAGATTTTAGGAAAGAGAAAGAAACAGGGAGAGGAAGAAAAGAGGCTAGCCAACAACCTGCAGTAGTGATTCTGAGGAACTAATAGGAGACGAAAAACTGGATAAATTATAAAAGGATGACTGATACGGGGGCGCGGGGAGGAGGATGAAACCGGGGAAAATATTGAGAGAGACAGAAAGAAAAGGAGAAACTTATCTGAGGTTGGAAATAAAGAGAAAGTGACATTGGAGCGGATAGAAAGGAAGAAACGGCGTGGGATCTGGGAATGAGGCAGTGGGTGGAGAGAGAATGGGGAGACGACAGAGGATGAAGGGCAGCTGAGTGTGTCTGCGAGAGAAGGACCAAAGCAATCTGGGCGGAGCAGGTGGCAGAGGCAGCCGCGGAGGAGGCCCAGGGAACTGACGGGGATGCTCAGCCAGGCCCAGAGGATGCGCCCTGGCAGTCCCGGAAGACACCAGGAAAACAAGCAGGAACCGTAGCTAGGACTGGGGTGGCCAGGCCCAGGAAATCCATGAAGGGGACAGACAGCGGGTCCTGCTGCCGCCGCCGATGCGACTTTGGCTGCTGCTGTCGCGCGTCCCGCCGGGCTCACTACACGTCTTACCGGTCCGGGGACGCGACGCGAACCCCTCAGTCCCCACGGCAGACCCCGAGCCGGGAAAGACGGCGCCCGGAGCCAGCCGGGAGCTGGGCAGCAGCGGCCGAGGAGGAAGAAGCAGCTGCGGCGGCCACACCCTGGATGAGGTGAGAGCATGGCCAGCTCCTGCCTCTGGAGCCCGGGAGGCTGAGGAACGCGATGGGGGTGGCAACGCACGGTGCGCTGGGCAGGAGAACCGCGCGGAGGGCTGGGGCCCCGGACTGAAGATCCCGACGCCTGAGAGGGGTTGGCGCTGAGTGACTACTGCTTGGAGAAGGGTAGGGAGGTAATGGGGCCCGTGGTGGAGGCAGGAGGAGGGACAGTGTTGAGTTGCCCAGAAATAAAGGTGTGCCCCTGGAAGGGTTAAAGCATAGGAAGCTCTATCTCGAGGTCTTTGAGACACAGACATTTGCTGTGTTGATGGAGGTGAGATTGCAGGCTGTGTCTGTTGGGTTGAGCCAAAGGAGAGATGAACACATGACTCAGAAGGCTATACCAGGATAGAAACATCAGAGATGGGCATGAAAGATGAAGGATCGGGAAGTGCACCCGGACGAAAGCACACACTGCCATCTCTTATAGCTCTTCTTTTCAGGGTTATTTCTCTTAGATACAGATCGCAGGGTGGGGTGGGTGGTGATTCCCTCTTCCTGGGCTATCTCTTTTTCCCCTGCAGAGCTGGAGCCCTGCCTGATGGCTGGATGGAGGCCATGCAGGACAAGTTCCTTCTAAAATCAATCCTTTGCTTTGGCCTGGAAGACTGAACATATTAGGCTCAATTTTCTTCGTGTAGCAGCAGTAACATAAAAATCTGTCATACATACGATTTTTGGGAGAAGAGATAGATTGTGCTGCAGGCTTTTTAGAAATAAACATGTCCTCATCACAGCATTTTTAGCTTTTTATCTCATGGAAGGTAGTACTCATAAATCAAACTACCAGGCCTAGTGATTCCAGCCTCTGAGCTAACGGGTCTGTAAAAAGTTACTTCATTTCTCTAGGCCTCAGTTTCCCATGCATAAAATTGGAATTTGGATTAAAACAGTGCTAATTATAAAACTAAATGTTCATTGGATCTGTATTCTATGTTCAGGATAGCTATATTTGTGAACTATGAAATTTAGCCTATTCACTGACAATTTTATTTTTTCATAACACTATCCACTGTTTATGTCAGAAAACAGACTCACATTCAGTTAATAGAGCTTAAATAAATCACATGTCTTCTAAGGAACCCATAAGAAATTACTGCTCCTAAGAAAGAATTAAGCAAAAAGTATTCATTGTTTGATTTTTTTATAAAGTAAAATTTTTATTGCCTTATACAAATTACTTTTATAGACATAATTACTTTTTTAAAAAAGCATATCTATGGGATGTTAATTATTTTATAAAATACTTTGAAATTTTATTTAAAGCTTAGAACAAAAAAATTAATCTGAATATGTATTTATAATTTCAAGGCTCCTTAAACACTTTACGCACACGGGGTGAATTCTTCTTATCTGGAAAGCAGCATTAATCCTGCAGAATTTAAAATGAATTATGACTCCTTATCACAAGAGTATGATTTTTCTTCCTGTCTTTGGTTAAAAAAAAGTTTGTAGGGTTAGAATTTGATCCTCTAAATTGTGGTTTAATTGTGAAAGTAGATACCAAACATTCATGGTTTCCTTAATAGTTACTCATCTGACAAACTACACCTATATTCATCTTCGTTGATGTAATGATAAGTCTTGAAATGTTTTTAAAAAATTTCACAATTCCCAAATGAAACACTTACAGCAACTTGACTGAGGTTAGTGCTACTTTGCCCTTTATTTAAAAATCAATTCCCCAGTTTAGCGTACTTTAAAAAATGTAACAACTTTAGCTATAGTGTTAGAGGTTTAATGAATGTTAGCGTATTAGAGGTTATACTTGGGGAGTGGTGTTTTTGGTACGATTTTCTAACTCTCAATCAACTAAAAAATGTAAAAAAGCAGCTTTGCACGTTATCCAAATTCAGTTCAGTTCAGTGTTACTTATTGAGCAATGATGGTGGAGGCCAGCACAAACTGGATACAAAACTACCCTCAGGTAACTCAGAATCTGTAGTTCTGTAATATGCTTCAGTAACTGGAGTATGGAGTAAGTGCTGTAACAGAAAGATGAACTGTAGACCTCTCTCTCTCTCTCTCTCTCTCTCTCTCTATCTATCTCTCCAAGGAAAGCTGACTTCCCTAACAGGCCATAGAAAGTGGCATTATCTTGGAAAATATGTTGAAATCTGGTCTTTAACTTGTTAAGTCTGTTTCTTTTCTTTTTCTTTCTTTCTTTTTTTTTTTTTTCAGAGATGGAGTCTCACTGTGTTGCCTAGGTTGGAGTGAAGTGGTGCAATCATAGCTCCCTGCAGTCTCCAACTCCTGGGCTCAAGGGATCCTCTTGCCTTGGCCTCCCAAGTAGCTGAGATCACAGTTGTGTACCATCATTTCCGGCTACTTTTAAAAAATTATTTTGTGTAGAGATGGAGTCTTGCTATGTTGCCTAGGCTGGTCTCAAACTCCCGGCTTCAAGCAATCCTACCACCCCACCCTCCCAAAGTGCTGAGACTATAGGCATGAGCCACTTCACCCAGCCAAGTCTGCTTCTTAAACTGATAAATCACAGGACTACTATATAAACCCAGAATAACAAATTACTAATTTATAATGAGAATTTTAACATCTTAGGGAACTAGACTCTCTTTTATGATCCCAGCAAAATATCTCTTGGTATATGTGCCACATTTGAGAGCCAAATTACAGCCAAAAGGTTGTTTTTGAAACTTGAATCTAGAGCAAGAGGAATTAATTAGTGGATTCTAAATTTCAAATAATTTGATAGCTTCAGAGCATCAAGGTGTACACATAGGTTCTTTTTTCCTGGACAGTAAGTGTCCACTGATGATTGTCCTCCCTTCTTAGGTACATCTCTTTTTCTATCTCTGATATGCTAATATTTTCAGTCAGATTATAATCTGGTTTGGGGATCCTTGTGACTGTTTCAAGTGTCTACATTTATTCTCTAAATCAGTTTATCTTAATTGTAAAGTTTAAATTCTAAGTGGCAAGCTTATTTTCTTTAAGAAAAAATAATGATGGGGTAGGGAGGTGGGGCTGGGGTACCATATTACAGCCCCTACATGCTGGCAATATAAACCAGGTGGTTAATGGCACCTCTCTATGGTGCTAAAAGGCAGATGAGGCCGGTCACGGTGGCTCATGCCTGTTAATCCCAGCAGTTTGGGAGGCCAAGGCCGGTGGATCACTTGAGGTCGGGAGTTTGAGATCAGTCTGGTCGACATTGTAAAACTCCATCACTAATGAAAATACAAAGAATTAGCTGGGTGTGGTGGTGCGCCTGTCATCCCAGCTACTCAGAAGGCTGAGGAAGGAGGATCACTTGAACCAGGGAGGCGGAGGTTGCAGTGAGCCGAGATTGCACCACTGCACTCCAACCTGGGTGGCAGAGTGAGACTCCATCTCAAAAAAGAAAAATTAAAAAATTTAAAAATTTAAAAAGGCAGATGATCAGAGACGGCTTTATACAGGAGGTGAATTTTTGTCTGGCTTGACAAGATAACAAAGCCAGGTTGAGTGGGAAGAAAATTTTGCCAAAAGAACACAAGCAGATTTATGACAGTGGGAAGATGCTTTATTGAAGTGAATCCCATGCTGTGATAGAAATTTTCTGTGAGGATTTAATTCAAACTCGATCCTTTTTCAAGTATATAACTATTTAAAAAGAGAAATTAAGTGAATTGTCAGCTGTTGGCCATCTGCCTCAATGTGTGCTTTTGAAGCCCAGCAGATTGCACATTCTGTGTAGGTGGATAGCTTGAAACCTGCAGACAACTGTCAGAGGACAATGACTTCAGAGAAGATTCAGTGAATTTCTAACATCAAACTTCAACTACTGTAATATGCTTGTCTAGCCATCTCTTTGTTGTTGCTGTTCTACAGCTTTATTGAGATATAACTGACATACAATAAACTGGGCAAATTTAAAGTGTGCAATTTGAAGTTTCAACGTATGTATATACCTGTGAAATCATCACCACAATCAAGATGACGAACTTATCCATGATCCCAAAAAGTTTCCTTCTGCCCTTTTTAAATTCCTCCTTCCCGCCCCTCTGCTTTTGTCATTATATATTACTTTGCATTTCCTAGAATTTCATATAAATGGAATCATACAGTATCTACTCTTTGTTGTTGTCTGGCTTCTTTCACTCAGCATAATTATTTTGAAACTTATCTATGCTGTTGTGGGTATCAGTAGCTCATTTCCTTTTGTTGCTGAGTAGTATTTCATCGTATGAATGTGCTACACGTTATTGATTCACCATTCTTTGAGTTGTTTCCAGTTTTATGGCTATTACAAATAAAGTTGCTATAATTATTTGTGCACATGTCTTTCATTTCTCTTGGGCACATTTCTCGAGGTATATAACACTAGGCACGCTTTTAAAGAAACTGCCAAATCGTTTTCCAAAAGGGTTGTACCTTTTACATTCCCACTAGCAATGTATGAAGGTTCTCATTTCTCCACATCCTTCTCAATACTTGTTACTGTACATCTTTTATATTATAGCCATTCTAGTGGGTGTGAAATCTTATTATGGTTTTTTGACTTAAATTTCCCTAATGATTAATGATATTGAGCTTTTTTTTCATGAGCTTGATTATTATCTACATATTTTTGGTAAAGTGTCTGTTGAAATATTTTGCCCATTTTCCATTGAGTTGTTTGGGTTTCACTGAGTTCATTGGGTTCATTTCATATTCTAAATGCAAGTTTTATTATATATGTTCTTTGCAAATATTTTCTCCCACTGTGCAGATTGTCTTTCCATTTTAGTAACAGTGTCTTTTGAAGACCAGACATTTTAAAATTTTGCTGTGGTAAATAAACATTATCAGTTTTTTCTTTTATGGTTCTGCTTTTAATGTCATATCTAAGAAATCATTACTTAATCCAGATTACAAAAATATTCTATTTTTTTCTAGAAGTTTTATAGTTTTGCATTTTTACATTTAGGCTTATGATCCATTTGAGTTAACTTTTGTATATTGTGATCAAGGTGTTTTTTTTTTCTTTTTTATCTTTTTTTTTTTTTTGCATGTAGATGTACAGTTGCTCTAACACTGTTTGTTAAGAGCACTATCCTTTTTCCATTTAATTGCCTTAGCACCTTTGTTCAAATCAATTGACCACATATATAATCGTCTGTATCTGGGTTTCTATTGTGTTTGACTGATTTATTTATCTGCCTTTTTTTTTTTCTTTTTCTTTTTTTGAGATGGAGTCTAACTCTGTTGCCCAGGCTGGAGTGCAGTGGCACGATCTTGGCTCACGGCAACCTTCGCCTCCTGGGTTCAAGCAATTCTACTGCCTCAGCCTCCCTTATCCATCTTTAGACTAATACCAAACTGATTTGGTTACAGTAGCTTTATACGTTTTGAAATCACGTAGTCAAATTCTTGAGCTTTGCTCTTCTTATTCAAAATTGTTTTCATTGTGTTAGGTTCTTTGAATTTCCATATACATTTCAGAATTCACTTGTAAATGTAGACAAAAAGCCAGTGGGGTATTTGATTGGGGTTACATTGAGTCTATAGATCAACTTATAGAGAATTGATATCTTAACAACATTGGGTCTTCTGATGCATGAACATGACATATTATTTCATTTATTTTGGTTAATGGTTCTCCGCTAAGGGCAATTGTGCATCACAAGGGACATTTGACAGTATCTAGACACAAACAACTAGAGCATCAGAGCCCTTTTGCTGTACCCACAGTCTTGTATTTACAGTCTATACTTCCATTCTTTCAGGAGGTTTGCTCCCAGAACTGGTGATATAAAGAAGGAAAGTAGCAGTATGAGCACTTTGAGGGCTAAGCAATGGGATAATATCTTTCTAAGGGAACAGTTAAATCAACTTCATTTGGTCTTCCATGGACATGAGTTTCAAGTGGCTTTCTGGCCTTTCTTCTGTTGGCCTCTTCGCTATTATGTGAAGACTTCATTTATACTCAATCTAATTCAGCTACCATGGGCCATATCACCAGTGCCCATTGTGTTCTATGCATCCTAATATTTTCATTAATCTGAAGGGGAGAGGGTTTTAACTTTGAAGGATACTCAAGAGGACTTTCTTATGAACTCAGATGGAAAGTGTCCTGAAATTTGTCCTTTTAAAAATATCTGTGCATTTTTTTGTGCTATGACATTCTTACATGTATCATTCTGTGATCAAATCTCCAGCTTACTATAAATGATACCTACATTCTAAAGAGCCAATTCTAGTTGTACCAGCATGGCCTTAGAGAAAAGTAAGGGAATACAATTTTTATTTATCTTCTATTTGGTTGGAGTTAAGTATTTAAAACAGTAAGGTAGATCTCAGATCCACCACCATTAAAAATAAATAAATAAATAAATAAATAAAATAGTAAAGTAGAAAGAAGAGACAAAGATCCAAACCTTTCAAAATGAAAAATGAATTTTAAATATAAGGTTATATTTTATTACCTACTGCTGAGACCATCATTGCATAAATGAATAAATAGAACTAAATAGTCCAGTCACAGTGGCTCACGCCTGTAATCCCAGCACTTTTGGAGGCCGAGGCACGCAGATCACGAGGTCAGGAGACAGAGACCATCCTGGCCAACATGGTGAAACCCTGTCTCTGTTAAAAATACAAAAGTTAGCTGGGCGTGGTGGCATGCGCCTGTAATCCCAGCTACTCGGGAGGCTGAGGCAGGAGAATCGCTTGAACCAGGGAGGCAGAGGTTGCAGTGAGCCAAGATCACACCACTGCACTCCAGCCTGGTGACACAGCGAGACTCTGTCTCAAAAAAAAAAAAAAGAACTAAATAAACTCTTCTTCCCCCACAAATTTACCAGTTTAGCCATTTTAAGTGTACAGGTCAGTAGTTGCATTAAGTACATTCACATTATTATGCAACAAGTACCACCATCCATCTCCAAAATTTTCTCTTTTTCCAAAACTGAAACTCTGTATCCATTAAACAGTAGCTACCCATTCTCCCTCCCCTACCTCCTGGTAACCACTATTCTACTTTCTGGCTCAATGAATTTGACTACTCTAGCCACCTTTTATAAGTGGGATCATATATTTGTTGTTTTGTCTCCAGCCTATTTCACTTGGCATAATCTCTTTTAGGGTCATCCGTGTTGTAGCATGTGTTGTAATTACGTACTTTTTTGTGTGTGAGATAGTCTTACTCTATCATTCAGGCTGGAGTGCACTGGCACAATCATGGTTCAATGCAGCTTTGACCTCCTGGGCTCAATCGATCCTCCCACATTGGCCTCCCAAATGGCTGGGATTACAAGCAATTTTTTTGATATTTTTGTAGAGATGGGGTCTCAGTTTGTTGCTCAGGCTTATAATGATGTACCTTTTAAAAGGCCAAATCATATTCCATTGTATGTTTATACAACATTTTATTAATCCATTCATCTGTTAATGGAAATTTCAGTTGTTTCCACCTTTTGCCACTGTGAATAATGCTGCAACAGATATGGATGTACAGATGTCTCTTTGTGTCCCTGTTTGCAATGCTTTTGGGTTGCAAAAGAAGAGGGATTTTTGCATATATGGTAATTCTATATTTAATTTTTTGGAACGACCATACTGTTCTCTACAGCAGCTGCACCATTTTACATTTCCATCAACAGTGTACAAGGGTTTCAGTTTCCCCATATCTTCATGAACACTGATATTTTCTGTTTTTGTTTTTTAAAATAATTGACATCCTAATGGGTATAAAGTGAAATATCATTGTGGTTTTGATTTGCATTTCCTTACTGATTAGTGATGTAAAAGATATTTTTAAAGTTTCATATTTACTGACATATTTACCATTTCCAATATTCTTCATTATTTTCATCTGGTATCATTTTCCTTCTGCCTGAAAGAATTTCTTTAATCCTTCTTATTCTTGTGCAGATTTGCTGGTGGGAAAATTCTTTCAGCTTTTGTATGTGAAAAAGTCTTTATTTCACCTTCATGTTTGAAAGATATTCTTGCTGGTTATCAGGACTGACTACATACTTTGTGGGGCTCAATGCAAAATAAAAATGTAGACCCCTCTGTTCAAATATTATTAAGAATTTCAAGTCATCAACAACAGAGCATTAAACCAAGCCCGTCCTTCTGAGTGCAAAGCCCTGTGTGACTACACGGGTTGTATGCACAAGAAACCTACTCTGCTGGTTGTAGAATTCCAGGTGACTGCTCTTTTTTTCCTTCAGCTCTTTAAAGATGTTGCTCTGTTGTCTTTTTTTTTTTTTCTGAGATGGAGTTTCGCTCTTGTTGCCCAGGCTAGAGTGCAATGATGCCATCTCGGCTCACCGCAACCTCGACCTCCCGGGTTCAAGTGATTCTCCTGCCTCAGCCTCCTGAGTAGCTGGGATTACAGGCATACGTCACCATGCCCAGCCAATTTTGTATTTTTAGTAGAGATGGGGTTTCTCCATGTTGGTCAGGCTGGTCTCGAACTGCTGACCTCAGGTGATCTGCCCTCCTCAGCCTCCCAAAGTGCTGGAATTACAGGCACGAGTCACTGCGCCTGGCTTCTCTGTTGTCTTTTAATTTTCAAGTTATGCTCTCATTCTTATCCTTGTTTCTCTCTATATAATGTTCTTTTTTCTCCTGAATACTTATAAATTTTTCTCTTTATCACTGATCTTAAGCAATTTGATTAAAATGTGCCTAGGTGTGGTTACTTTCATGTTTCTCGTGCTTTGGATTTGTTACACTTACCGGATCTGTGTGTTTACAGTTTTCATTATACTTGGACAATTTTCAGCCATTATTTTTTCAAAAATTTTTGTTGCCCTCTATAACTCCTTTCCTTTAGGGACTTCAGTTACATATATATTAGGTCATTTAAATTTTTCCCATTGATCACTGATGCTCTGTTCACTTTTTGTTTTCTTTTCCTTGTTTTATTTTTGGATCATTTTCATTGCTATGTCTTTAAGTTCACTAACTTTTTCTTCTACAGTGTCTAATCTGTTGTTAATTCCATCCAGTGTATTCTTCATCTCAGATATTGTCTTTTTCATCTCTAGAAGTTTGTAACTTTCATGTATTAATTTTTTTTCTTTTTTTTTGAGATGGAGTTTCACTCTTGTCAATGTTACGGTCTCAGCTCCTTGCAACCTGCAATCTCTGCCTCCCGGGTACAAGCAATTCTCCTGTCTCAGCCTCCTGAGTAGCTGGGATTACAGGCACCCACCACCACGCCTGGCTAATTTTTGTATTTTTAGTAGAGATGGGGTTTCACCATGTTGGCCAGGGTGGTCTCAAACTTCTGACCTCAGGTGATCTGCCCACCTCCTCCCAAAGTGCTGGGATTACAGGCGTGAGGCACTGTGCCCCGCCCATGTATTAATATTTTACTTCATTTTATCAATCTTTGTTCTACTTTCTTGAACATTTAAAATACTATAATAACAATTCTAACATTTGTTCAGTTCTGAGTATGTTTCTGGTAATTGATTTTTCTCTTCATTTTAAGTACTGTTTCCTGCTTCTTTGCACACCTGGCAATACTTTGATTTGATACCACACATTAAACATTTTACATATTGGGTGTTAGATAGTTTTGCATTCCCATAAACATTATTGAGCTTTATTCTGGGTCACAGTTAAGTTAGTTGGAAACAGATCCTTCTTGATCTTAAGCTTCATTATGGGGAACCCAAGCAACTTTTTAAAGATGATTAATTTTCCCCATTACTTGGGTGATACCCTTCTAAGTACTCTAGCCAATATCCTGTTAATTATGAGGCTTTTCCCACTTTAGTAGATGATGAAACAAACTACTTCCAGCCTTGTATGAGCCAAGAGGATTGTTTAATCTGATTCTCTTGTGTGGTTCTTACCCCAACCTTGGTAGTTTCCTGATATACCGATCAGTATTCAGCTGAATATTTAAGGAGACTCTCCACAGATCTCTGGAATTTTCTATTCTTTCTGGTACTCTTCCCCATGAACTCTACCTGCCTTGGCCTTCTCAAATCTCTGCATGATCTCTTCAACTCAGGCAGATCACCAGGCTCTGCCTGGATTCCCTCTCTGTGAGCTCTGGGGCAGTTAAGTAGGACAGTTGTATGGCTTACTTTGCTTGTTTCTCTCTTCTCTTGGATAACTTTCCTATGTTGTCTGATATCCAGTGTCTGAAAATAATTATTTTATATATCTTGTCCTATTTTTTAGTAATTTCTGTCAGGGGTGAAGGGGAATGAATACCAACCCTATTACCGCATGCTGTCTGGAAGTAGAAGTGTCTTTCTAGCCACGTTATAAATTAGTAGTTTTCAACCCTGACTACATATTAGAATTATTTGGGGGAGGTCTTTAAAAAGCTGATGTAAGGCTTCATTCCAGACCAATTAAATCAGACTTTTTCAGATTGAGGTCTTAGCATCAGTGTTCTTTAAATGCACTACAAGTTTTCTCATGTATACCAGGGTTAAAGAACCTCCATATTAAAGAAAAGGTTGCATTTATAGATCATTCTGAGAAACTTTTGTATTCTGTCATTTCAGCTAAGACACAGAGGCGGTTGGCTTTTATTTTTGTAGACAGTGTGGAATTATAGAAGCTTTTAAAGAAGAGTCTGGCAGACATAGATCTTTGTTTTAGAGTTGTAAGTGTGGCAATCGTGTGAGAGATGGGCTTAAGTGGATTGAGTGAAGATCACTGAGAAACTGTTGCAAGTGGTTCACGGCCAAAGGTAATAAGGGCCTGAACACAGGCACTGGTATTGGGAATGGCGAGGAAGAGATAGGTTGGAGAATTTGAGTTAGAACTGATAGGATTTTTTGATTAATTGAGTGTGGGAAATGAGGGAGATGGTGGAAACAAATGTTATTCTCCAGTTTATTACTCTAGACAAGTAAACTCTGTCTAAACAAATTCCTAGGCCAGTCAGAGAGTAAATAGTAATTTCATTAACTGAGATAGATAATATGGTATGAGAAGCAGATGTCAGGAAAAGGAGAGAATTAATTTAGTTTGGGATATCCAAAAGGATATCTCATGGAACTGTCTCCTGACCTCTAGTTTATTCTGAATCATAGGACAGAGAAGACATTTAAAAGCATATCTTTTTAGTATGCTGTATAATTTTGAACAGATTTATCTTTCTTCTTTTATTTGACTTAATATTGAAATCTGTTTATATCTTTTTTTTTTTTTTTTTTTTTTTGAGGCGGAGTCCTGCTCTGTTTCCCAGGCTGGCGTGCAGCGGCGCGATCTGGCTCACTGCAAGCTCCGCCTCCTGGGTTCACGCCACTCTCCTGCCTCAGCCTCCCGAATAGCTGAGACTACAGGCGCCCGCCACCACACCCGGCTAATTTTTTGTATTTTTTAGTAGAGATGGGGTTTCACCGTGTTAACCAGGATGGTCTCCATCTCCTGACCTCGTGATCCGCCCGCCTCGGCCTCCCAAAGTGCTGGGATTACAGGTGTGAGCCACTGAGCTCGGCCGAAATCTGTTTATATCTCTTAAACAAACATCAGTTAATACTGCAAGAAAGTAGATGTTGGCCGTGCGCGGTTGCTCACGCCTGTAATCCCAGCACTTT